>NC_000012.12:45035885-45187400 GCF_000001405.40 Homo sapiens
GATCGCTGTGACTTTTAGTGAGGAATTAGCTCCTTGCCATTGCATTACCAATTAGTTTTCCAGAGCACATTAAATCCTGCAGCTTTGGTTTACAGAATAACTGAGGCATTGCTGATGAAGGATAAAAACTTACTTGGAAAAGCAGTGGAGGATGCAGGGCGCCGACAGGACCCACCGCAGCACGCCGAGTAGAATGGCGGGGTGCTCAGAAGGAAAGGTTTGGAAGGTGCTGCAGAGAAAGCATTGATCTCATTGATTAGCCATTTCTTTAAGACAATATTCAAAACTCCAGTTTCCTAAAAGTCATTGAGTAAATACTTTGCTTAGTTTTTTAATTTGTATTGAAATTAAAGTTATTATAAAGTAGCCTTTGTCTGTCAAAGAGCATGCCAAATAATCTCATCAAGATTTGAGAGGGGTAGTGAAAAGACGCAAAGAGACTATGAAACACCAAGCTTCTTAGATCATTTTCTGTGCGGTCATCATTATAAATAGTAAACATCAAATATTCCTTTATTTAAAATACCCTAGAACAACACTGTCCAAGAAAACTATCTGTGATGATTGGAAATGTCTATGTCTGTATTGTTCAAAATGGTATCTGCTACCCACATACAGCTACTGTACACTTAAAATGTAGCTAGTATAATGAATAACTGCATATTTACTCTAAATTCACTTATATTTAAATAGACTCATACGACTAGGGATTATATTAAATAGCACAGCTCTAGATATCCTACTTACCAAGAAATGATTTAAATGTTATGTGCTTACATTTAATTTTTAAAGTTTATATCTCTTTGCTTATTTTCAGATGGTTCTTTGAAACATATAGTTAGTTGGATTCCAAAGTTGGTAACAGTAAATTTACTGAGCAATTCCATAACAAAAAGTGGTGTTTCTGATCACATTTACATGACTTAAAGTATTTGAGAATAATCCCATTTTATCTCAAGAGTAATCTAGTCACCCTGAAGATATATGTGTTTCTAGTATAGTGAGTTGCCATGTAATTCTGCTCTGCATAGTTTTATTAAAATAATCTATTCATAAAGTTTTCAGGAGAAATGCATGAACTATTTATTATTACTCCTGTGCAAAAGTATGAAAGAGAGACCCATTTTGGTGGCCAAAAACTTCTATAAAATTTTTTGAAGTCTCATTAGTATAAGTTGTTCTATTATTTTGACTATAAAACCATCATAGAAATGATGAATCATCCCCTTTGAATTTAACATTTTAAGTTAAACTCTTTCCTCAGTAGATGAGAACAGCTATAAAGGATAAAACATGAATAATAACTCTCCATTATTGAGCACTTACTGTATGCTGTGCTTTGGTTAAGTGCCTTAGACACACCATGTCCTTTCATAGAATAGGTTTAATACAATATAACTGTAGGTGGAGATTGCCTAAAGTGGGCACTTGCCCATACCATGACACATTCAACAGAGTGCCTAGCACATTCTAAACAGTCAAAAAATTTTTTAGTAAATGAACAAATGGTCTTCCAAATGAACAAACAGAAAACTTCCCTGGTCTTAGGGAAAGAATGAGGATCAAGAATTAATCCTTCCCCTGCTTCCTGACCCATCCTAAAACATGGTGTCTCTCATAACTGATGACCTTGAAATCTAAAACATGACTTGAAAATAAATATTTTTATTATTATTCTTTCATATTCAAGGGACAACTTCTTTCCTTTTCTTAATCACATTCGTGAATATTGTTTCCATATGACTACATACCTTTTTGAAGAACACAGTAATTTCAGACTTGTATTTTAACGAACTGATGAGCTGTTTATATTTATTTTCACAATTTCTTTGAAGGATGTATCAAAATAAGTATAGTTTCCAATAAGAATTTTTATAGCATTTCAGGGTCCTGGGTGCTTTAAAATTGCAAATTAATCATAAATGCAGTTTTCTTCCTAGCACACAATGGGAAGTTGTTAACATTAATGCTTTTAGGTTTTTTTTAAATACTTGGGTTTTTAAAGAATCAAGTGTTTGTTTTAATGCTGTTTTGAAAATATGGCCGCTAAGCAAAGGCATAAAAAGGAAACCAATTCTGATGTTCAAAAAGTTTTATAAATTTTTTTGAAGTTTCATTGTTATCATAAGTTGTTCTTATATTGACTATAAAACTGTCATGGAAATTATAAATCATTTCATTTGAATTTTACATCTTAAAGTATGTTACAAGAGTATGGCATTATTTATGCAGATTTACATTTTCATTATTGCTATGGATATATGAAGTACTTCAGAAAGAAGAAATATAAAAGTTGCCTAATTATGTTTATTTTCAAGCATTTCTGTTAGCTAACTTATTTCCCCTCCAAGATAAACATTCTATAAATAATAAAATGATGGCTCTTGCACTGTTTTGTTTTGGACTTTTGTTGTTATTGTTGTTGTCTTTTGAGGTAAAAGAAAAAAAAAGACTCAGCAATGTTACATTTGCTGACATAAAATTAAACATTTACCATGTTAACTGGAAACAGAAAACAAAAAAAAAGGTTTTGGTTTTGTTTTTTGCTTAATTAGGGCATAGAAAATGTGATCATACTACTGATATCATTAATATAAGGATGCAATATGTATGCAATATGTGTGTGTGTATATATTGCATACATATTGCATCCTTATATATACATATATATATTACAAATTTTTCTATTCTAACCAAAATGTTTCTCATCCCAACCCTAGGGCCCTAAAAGTGGGAAAATAAAATATTTTAAAAATGGATGGTTTACTTAAAATAAATGATCAATTAAATTCCCAACCCTAGGGCCCTAAAAGTGGGAAAATAAAATATTTTAAAAATGGATGGTTTACTTAAAATAAATGATCAATTAAATTCTTAGTGATAAATGTGGTTTACAGATATCTGATCTTAATGCTGAATTTAACCAGAAAAACCATTTTAATTGAATAGTCTATTATATCTCTCTACATTACCCTATCTTAATATAAAAAAGCTGTAATCAAAATGACAGTATCAAAATCTGTAATTGCAAAAAAAGTAATCATAATCTACAGTAACAATTCTAGTTTTGACTAAAGAACTGGACTTCTTCACATTTTGTGATGTGACCAGGCTTGAAGTTCTATTGTGTACAATTTTTCACCATTTTAAATCACCTTTTTGACATGCATATTTACACACGAGTTTAAGTCAATTCCTGATTGCTATACATAAATACATCTTGTTTAAGCTGGTTTATGTGAAAATCACTGTAAAATTCCAATTAAGTGCTTTTTTTTTTTACATGTTCCTATTTTGACCTAAGTCAAATGCTAATCCAGTGAGCACATGATTGCAGGAGCACTGAATGGCCTTAAGAAATCACCATTTAAAACAATGCACTGCATTGAAGGTATATATATATATATATATATATATATATATATATATATATATATGTATCACACTTTTAACTTTAGTGAACCATATACTTTTTTTAAGTAATGACCAAAACAGGAAACTCTGCTTTGATGAAAACAAAGTGACAAGTTGATAGATGTGCTGTAAACCCTTAAGAATTACTTGGAAGGTGCTCTGAAAAAGGTAGAAAAGGTAATTTGATCCTAGATAAAATGCATTTCAAACCCATCAGTGCCATCTAGATGCAGTTGCTTAATCATTTATCATGTTAGAAATGATTAACTGTAGGCTCACTGAACAATATTTATAATGATAATATTTAAGGAGTGCTTACTATATATCAGGCACTGGACTAGCTACAAATTTAACACATGCTAACTCATTGATTCATTAACATTCGACACATCTGAAATGTGATTATGACTGCTCACAGCAAATTAAAAGAAAAAAGGACGAGAAAAACAATAAAGATTTAACATAATAATTAATTACTAGCCATGAGGGATAGAGATTTCATGCACCATGACTCTGCCAGCTATTCAGTAAGAGCTAGACCCTGGACAACTGACACATCTCCCAAGATTTCCATGAGAGAGAAAAAAAAAATGGCCTTTCCTCTGGAAAAAAATATAAACAGTTCAGGTTCTACAGCATGACGTCAGGTTGTATTAACACAACATCTCGAGACACTCCAAATTTCATATCCTACTATGATGGTTAATACTGAGTGTCAACTTGATTAGATTGAAGGATGCAAAGTACTGGTCCTGGGTGTGTCTGCAAGGGTGTTGCAAGGGAGATTAACATTTGAGTCAGTGGGCTGGGAAAGGCAGACCCACCCTTAATCTGGGTGGGCACTATCTAATCAGCTGCCAGTGCAGATAGAATATAAAGCAGGCAGAAAAAAGTGAAAAGACTAGACTGGCCTAGCCTACCAGCCTACATCTTTCTCCCGTGCTTCCTTCCCTCAAACACTGGACTCCAAGTTCTTCAGTTATGGGACTCGAACTGGCTCTCCTTGCTCCTCAGCTTGCATACATCCTATTGTGAGACCTTGTGATCTTGTGTCAATAGTTAATAAACTCCCCTTTATATATATGCCTATATATCCTATTAGTTCTGTTCTTCTACAGAACCCTGACTGATACACCTACCAATCAAGCTTCCAATTTCTGTGTGAAACTGTTATGAGTTACAAACAAAATGACTTAAAAATTTTGGAACTAAACTGGGGCTTGTCTGAATCCAAATGACTAAAATTATGTATTCAGAGAAAACTTCATGAACTTTCCGTATGACTTATTTGAAGATACAGATTCAAGATATCTTTTATCTTGCATGTTTATTTAAGATGGGAACTTATAGCCAACCTAATGGTGAACTAGCCTGATTTTTTTTAACTTAGCTGACTAGATGTTTCTGTGATACAAGTATCCCATAGCCAAGCAAGGTTACAAGTTTAGCTACTGAGAAATTATTCTGTTTTCTAGAAAACAATAATTTTTTAAATTGTTTTTGTCCTTTTTATTCTCCTTTAGTAATGGAGAAGAACATCAGGAATCTAAATGGTGTGAAACCACATTCTTATTGGCAATACAAACAAATTATGGTACTAACTGACTTGAACTGACATTTCAAAGGAAGAATACTAAAGACCACTAATAAAACCTTCAAATAAATTTCAGGAACCACTGCATTTAAGAAGGATGAGGAGAAATGATAGAAGGTTCCAAAGTATCTTACTAAGGCAACCACTGGGGGGAAGAAAAAAAAAAAAACCTCTAGGAAAGAATGACAGGGAAGTAAATAATTAAGAATATTATTATAACAAATAATAATATTAATAAATTAATTAAAACTAATCATTAATAATGAATTAAAATAATTAACTAAATAATAATTAATAAATAATAAATTAAAATTAATAAATTATAAATAAAATAATAATAAAGAATGACAGGGAAGTAAATAATTCCAAAAGGATGGTTTTAATGACCTCTTTCACATGCCAGGTACGTGGCCACTAAGAAGTCAAAAATCTAAACTTCTGACTTGCAAATAATACACAATTGAACCGACAGTCTAGGGTGGAGGGCACCCAAAACAAGACTCCAAAGAGCAGCAAACATCTATCTTGAATAGTTAGAACAAAGAAATATCAATTAGCTAATGAAGTTTGATTTATTTTAATATTTAGTCCACCTGAAAGTAATTTGTTTATGTGATCTAATTGCAAACCTTGCCTTCAATCACCACGCATAGCAAGTTAGGTAAATTCATCCTTTACTTTTCTGTTTATCAGAAAACAAGAGAAGCCCGCATTTTTTGCCTCAAAAGTGTTTTAAAGACAGAAAAACAAAGGGTCTTAATGTTTTGGTAGAGCTCATGAGAAGATATATCAAGTGCAGTGTCTACTTGTTTGCTTCTATCCTTTCAATTTAGGGCAAATAGTATGTACTGCCTATCTGTCAAGTGCTGAGCACTGCACTGTGTGCTGGGACTACAAAGATTGAAAAAGGAGTTTCCTTCCTGGAATAATTTATATTTTTTAATATTCTTTAACTTACAGATTTGAGTCTGCTGGTTAATGAAATGAAATGTAAATTTCTCAGTTACTCCAAGTTCAGTTTTGTTCAGTGAAACCTGACACACTCCCCAAGGAGATGCAATCTAACAAAATTCATACTGTGCACATCCATAGCCAGTGGTTCTCAACCCTGAATACACATTAGAATTGTCTGGGCTGCTTCTCAAAGATACAGATGCCTAGCCCCCACATCAATTGTTTTAAATCAGGCTGGCTAGGACTGGACACCCGCATAACATTTTTTCACTTTGTAGGTGATTATAATATAAAGCAAGGATGAGACCGTGAAAAGAACATAAAACAACACCTGACACATTGTAGACATTCAATAAATGTTAGCCTCTCCTCCTGCCATTAGTATATAATCTGAGATCAAGACTAAAACAGCACATAAAAAAGCTGTATTGTGCAGACTTCTACTGAAATACAGAATAAAAAGAAAAGGATATTTTAAGAAAGCCTTGTTCAAAGAAGGCTTTAAGCAGGAGAAACATCTTAATCAGGGCCTTGATTTGGAAAGTACTTGGAAGGGCAAAAGAAGAGAATGAAACCATTCCAAGAAGAAAAGGTTGCAGGGACAAAGGAAAAGAGGCAAGGATGGTGTTAACACATGGGGCAGGTGAAGGAGACCAGCCTGGCTACTGGGACAAAGCCCCACGGGTGAACATTAAGCAATGTGGCTAGAAGAGTTAAATGCAGTTGATGGAATGAAGGCCTTAAAGGCCAAACTAGGTAATTTCATTTAATCTGTAGTCAAATTGGATAATTTAGGTTTTCCTCAATAGCTTGGTGACATGATGAACACTACATTTGAGAAAAGTTCACCTGGCAGTGGTGGACGGGATGCAGCGGAATAAAGAAGGGCCAAAGGGAAAGCTGCTATGCAGTAACAACATGCTGTAGCAACAGGTGATGACAAGCATTTGTGTGAACACTTCCAGCAACATCTTATCTATCCTCACAACACCAACAAGTTGACAGAGTCTGGCTTCCCTCCAGCTGTGGGACGTTAGTTCACCATGACCATCACAGGTGCCCAGGGTCATCACCTCTGCTGCCTTACCCTTCAGGGAGTCTCAATTAGACCGCTCTGAAAAAATGATCTAAACTCGAGGAGATTCCTTGCTCTTTTTATTATAAAGTCTATGTCACAGAAGAGAATACTATAAGCCTTTGTGAAGGTTCCCTGAGCTCCCGGCTATACCACTCTGTGTGATTAATTCCTGCATTGGTCTACTCCAGCAGAAGACAGACCTAGCAGGAAGTGTATCTGATATTGGTTATCTTGATTTCACCCTGGGACAGATTTTAAATGATCACAAATTATTTGGTACTCCTTCCATTGAAAGGTGAGGTCTGTTTCTTCTTCCTTTGAATTTGGAATGGCCTTGGTGACTTGCTTAACCAAGAGACATGGCAGATATGACACTCTGAAACTTCTGCAACTAAGTCTTATGAAGTTCCAGAATGTCACTTCCAAGACTAAGTCGTAAGAAACTGCAAGGCTTCATATGACCTAGTATTGGAAGTATCAGAATGTCCAAAGTTCCAAAGCCACATGGGTTTTTGGAATGTGTGCTCTTGGTGTTCTCCCTTTCAGAATCCAGCCACTCTGCTATAGAAAGGCCAAGAAACTTGGAAAGCCCAAGTGTGAATGCTGCAATAAACAGCTCCAGTTGAGCAACCAGTCAACAGATGGCATCAGTGCCAGCCATGTGAGTAGCCATCTTGGACATCCAGCTCAGTCAAACCTTCCCATGAGTTTAGTCCCAGTTGACATCTAACATCACTCAAGATTCTAAGTGGGAACCACCCAACTGAGCCCAGTCAGCCCACAAAACTGTAAGAGAAAATAATAAATTGTTCTTCAAGCCACTGAGTTTTGGGATGGTTTCTTATACACAACGCCCCTTTTACCAATAATTTGCTTATGGTGAAATGGTGGGAAGGAGTCCTGCACATCTTTTCCTGTATCTTACCAGTGCGCTTTTGAGGTATGTGCTTTAAAGTCAAATGCTGACTCTACCACTGTTCACATTTTGAAATGAGGAAAGAGAGGCTCTGTGAGGTTATATGAATTCCTTATGGTTACAGAATCAGTAATCTGAAGACCTTGAATCTAGACTTTTAAATACAGGAATGCTCAGAGAGCTATAGGTAGTTTTAAATTTAACCAATTTGCCATTTACACGTTGGAGCAAGCGCTGGCATACTTCTATTATAAAAAGCAAGATAGTAAATACTTTATGCTTTGTGAGCTACACAGTCTCCATTATGACTATTCAATAGAAAAGCAGCTATAGAAAATATGTAAACAAATAGGTGTCATTCTGTTCTAGCTTTAAACAATCAGATGGTCTTTTTTTGTTTCAGACCCAATATAACCACAAAACTTGTTCAATAGACCTAAACTCAATCCAGCCCTAGGTTATCTATTAAAAACTTGCCAGCAGTCACGGTTTTTATTCCTTTTTTAATGTACATAAATTTTCTCAAAGAATGACTTATTAACTCCTTCACATATTTTAATTTTAAAAATAATAGAGACTTAAGGTTTTAAAGAACAAGAAATTTTGAGCCTTTTCAAGAGGCTTTGTGGAAATCTATATATTCTATTTCTGATGGTCGCTTAGAGTTAACAAAAAATTAAGGTTGTTATGGCATGGTCCCTGAACACGTGAAAGAAAAGTGAAAAATCTAGTCATCTGTGCATCATTTATAAACAAGAAGGCATTAAAATAGTCAGCAATTTTTACAAAAAGACGCAACCTTTTTGTTTTCCTTTCCTTTTCCTGAATGCTTTGGTTCTAAAAGTCTAAAAACTCCTATAGGCTTTTTGATCTTTGGTTTCAGAGACAATTTTAGTACCTTAAGTTGACTGTTCACATACCTCACAAAAGTGTGCCCCTGACATATTCTCAACTAATAGCTGGTTGACAAAATGAATAATCCTATTAAAAATGAAATCAGCTATGGTAACTTTATATAGAGTGATGGATCACTCAGCATTGCCAAGTTAAGTATTGACTGGAGGCTAAAAAGAATGAAAGAGAGAGATTTCATTAAAAGTGGAAACATTACTGAAAGTAAAATAAAACATTTTGGAATAAAATATACAAGGGCCTGGTAAGTATGTTATATGTTAAGGCAAAAATCCAATTTCTTACTAAGAGAGTATAAAATAGAAACATGATCTAATAAAGTCTAAAATGAGGATTCTAACAAGCATTCCTAGATAAAAATCATATTGTTTCATTTTACAACTTGCCTTTTTATTCCTGACAGACTCCAGGTGTATTTGAACGAAAACTCAGTTATTTAAACTGACTTAAAAGTTGTGTCCTTTCATTGTATATATAAAGAAAAACTACTGTAATTAGAAAAACTTTACTTAGAGCTTCTTCTAACCGAAAATTAAGTAGACAAACACTGTATTAAGGGCTGCAAAGCAAGACCCTCAAAAGATCTTTGTATTTAATGCCCACCCTAACATAAGAACACATTTGTTTAAATGTTTTAAATAACATTTCATTTTTGTATAAACTTTCATAGCAAAGAATCTCAAAGGATTTTATGAACACGATTAAACAGAAATCATGCATGGATGTTGTGTCCTTCACTTTTAAGTTGCTACCATTTCTCTCATCGTTCAGCAGCAAATCTAACTGTAAAATATCTTCTTACAGGAAAAAGACATCTGGTGGTCACTAAGAACAGGAAGGAGGTGGCACACCCAAAGAGAACTATCATGGAGTCTAAGCACAGCTTAGGTTCCAATATCTGAACCACATCCATGGCAAACAAATATAAATAAAATCACCCTTGGCAATCCCTTTGTTTTTTTATTTGTTTGTTTGTTTGTTTTTTAGACAGAGTCTCGCTCTGTTGCCCAGGCTGGAGTGCAGTGGTGCAATCACAGAAATCCCTTTAAATTGCCCAAAACATACGGCATCCTTTTGACTTTATGTAGCATAACCCTGAACACTCTAAATTCTACGTTTAATTCTATGTAAGTCCATACATAAATTTACAGGCATTCAAACCATCGTACCCCTTAAAATAACCCTCAAATCCCTAAAGGAATGGAGCTAAGTAAGTGGAAAGTTCTAAAACCTTCTTATTTGCCTGCTCCATGTACTCCTGTTTTATTATTAAACCTCAAGAGTTTTAGTACATATTACCAGATTGAAATTTGCTTGTTGTTAGAGCAAAGAAGAGAAGCATGTGTTGGGGCAAAGGAGAGACAGAGATATTGGTTCTAATAGTCTCTTTTATTTTATCCACTGCAAGAACTTCTCCTTGAACCTGAAGGTGTTTATTAACTTAGGGACCACAGAGCTGATTACTCATGAACTAGGTAAAAGTTATTAATATGTTAGTTTTAAATAAAAAGGTATGTTGAGCAGATTACAGAAAAATATACAGATATGGAAAGAATATGGTTCTGGTATTCTCAAAAAATTCCACCAAAGGATGACTGGAGTGATGGCCTCAGCAAAGTGATGGACTAGCATAGGTCCCATCACTATCCCATTCGGAATCCCCTGTTGTCATCCTGGTTCTGAATCAGCATCATCAACACTCAAAATTCTATGATTTTAATTTGTCAAAATGAATCTAAACCATAGTGTCAGCAACAGAAAGCTCAAATTCGGACTTAAAAAATAAGATCACAAAGTCTTTACTTAGAATGCAATCCCCACCTTGAGCACAAATCCCTTTTCTCCCTTGCGTAGGTGCCTAAAATGTAAAAGAGGCCATTTTATTTCACACTTTCAGTGTATCTCAGTGGAGGAAAAAACTACCGTTTGCAGCACCAGACATAAGTGTGAATAGTTTCAGACAGTCAACAATTAATGGGTAAACAGTACTTGGGATTGGGAGACAGACAAGAAAACTAGAGTGCACATTAAGTATTGATGGTCAGAAACAATCCTAACCGGATGCCAGAAAAAAAAATACTAATGCTCTTTTATTTCTTTACTACACAGAATGACTTACTTGGCAAAACTACTTTTTAAAACAGCAGCTCAATTCACCTATCCAGAATGAACATTTGCTTTCCAATCCTTTCATATGCAGCAGAAGAATAGATTTAATAAACAATAAAGGAAATTATATTCAGGAAATTATTTTTATGTCAAACATTTTCTAAAATGCTTAAAATAACAAATGTTATTAATAAACATGACTATTTGTTCCACTTATTTTGAAGAGAATTGATGGCATAACCACCAATTGGAAAACTGATATCATTCTGTAGCCAGGAGAATTTAAATCTTTCAGCATTTTACATTTTGAGGCCCTCTTTTATATACAGACATGAATATTTTAATCAGGCATAATATTTTCCAAATATTGTCACAAATAATGGCATCAGGAAACTTCTGAGGAAGGATGTCTAATAATCAGAGTTTACTCAAAAAACCTCCTGGTTTCCACTAATAAACTATAATACAACCATGACATTTTTTCTTTTTTCAGATGTAAGCCCTGGAGGAGAACCTATTTCCTACCCAATATTGCCCTAAATGTGCCCCTCCCTAGCCCTGAGCCCTTTGATTTTTAGAGTTTTAAAACTATTCTATATAAACAACTTGACAACATATAGCTATGGAGTGTGGCTTTTCTTGCTGTAAATACTCAAACTTAACAATTTTCAGGGATGAAGCACTGACAACTCTACTTTCATCCATGACCTGTAAATCTGTGTTACTGTGTTTAACTGTCACCACCTTTCAAATATATTTCATAACAAGAGGAAAGGGAAAGCTAATTTCTTCCATTATGGGCTGAGGGGCAAAATCACAATCTGATTTATTATTGTGATACTATGTAATTGGTGATCCAATTGGCCCTCATTATTTTCTTCTAGTCAATGGAAGACTAACCTAAGGTTAGGACTCTGAAGATTTTGGGCAATTTTTTCTCTATCACAAGTTCATATATGATTAAAGTGCTACTTGGGACAAAAACAAAATGAGCAAATGAAATAGTCATTGAGAAAAACAACTGGAATCTCCATAGCCACCTCATTAGCTTATTAGGAGGATTAAAGGAGCTATTTTGAAAATGGCTGCTAACCTATAAAGCAGTACAGAACATGGAATGTAAGCTCTACAAGGGCCGAGACAGTCATCTGTCTTGTTAACTGATTATGCCAATGGCCTAGAACAGAGCCTGATACATGGGAGACACTCAGTAAGCATGTGCTGAATGAATGAAATATATGGTATATTTAATAGTAGGTAACAAAAAATAACGAAAAATAATGAAACCAAAATGCATGCAGAAGCATAAATCCCGCAGTTAAACGGTGCTATATTTCACCAATGAACTTAAAAATAACTCTGGGGCTTTCTTATTCAAATTTAGATGTGGTGCACTCAACAAATTAAGTCTGGGAAAAAAGGGGGTAGTCAACATGCAGAAATTACTAAAATCAGATTTTGTGTTCCACTCCCAAGTTAGTGTCTAAAGGATCAGAACTGGTTGTTGGATAACATTTCAGAAAAATATGGTATTATCTTCCCGAAAACAAAGCTTCTCCAACTCTTATGCTGTCCCCAGAACACCAAATCACTATTTCATCCTCACCTAATTTCCACCTGATAGAAAAAATTGTTGGCAGTCCATTATAATTTCATAATTGTACACTGCATAAAATAATTCCCACATTTGGTAAGGCAAGAATCTGTAATTTAAATAAAACCGGGGCAATGTTCAGAAAACTACATTCTTTATCCAATTATAAAAATAAATCAATATAAATTCTGGTTTTTAAGCAGCATATTTGTGGGGTCAAATTAATGAGATTTTAGTTTTCTTCTTTAGATATTTTTCTAGTTTCAGAAACTAATGTTTTCTTTACAAGAATAATTTGTTAAAAAACAAAGGTTGTTTGTTCAAATGAAAATTAATCTAGAACATCATATCTTCAATGAGTGTTGAATAAAATATTTGGAAAAATACATGCTTAAACTGTATTAGAATACTTCAAAAGGGAATATAAATTCTTACAACCCTCGTAATTATTCCAAAAACAATGTTTGCAATTGGACACTTTGGTTAAGTGTACAAGAATGAATATGTTCTTGAAAATAAAAAGAATGTACTTAGGAAAACTTTTAACCTTTAGTTGCAATATTTTGAAATAAGTATAGTAAATTATTTTTTAGGGTTATTGAAATAACTGCACTTGATTTGCATTTATTTTATTTAAATGTAATCTGTGAAATCTGCAAAGGTTAAAATTAAATATCTTTTCATGGCGGAGACAATTATGATTAGAAAAAGCTTAGGAATCCTTGAAAAATAACTTCTATCAACACAATGCCAAGCCACCAAAAGTTATGCAAATCAACAAATTTTCTGGAAAATGTTATTTTTATGAAATTTAATTTATTAACTCTCTTCCAAGTGAATCTGCTTTATGCCTAATTTTTCTAATACTTCAAAAAGAACAGAGAGGCCCAAATTTCCATAAACTTTGCCTTAACTGTTTGTTCCTCTTTCAGGGTGCAAAAAAGGTTCCCTAGCATTTAGGTTTTACACTAGGTGAATGAGACCGGTGTTCATATAGTTATATTTGTTCCATTCTGTTAGTAACCATTTCAAAGTGAAAGACCAAGACAGGTTCTAAACATGTTAAATTCTATAAAGCCATTAGCAATAAATTTGATCCGGCAGTTTGCTGGGACAATGGAAACTGCTGAAAAAGCGTCTATTAGTCATTCTGGACAAACCCATCGGGATTAAAAGAATGAGTTAAGATCGTTTAAGGACGCAGCCAAAAAAAAAAAAAAATCCAATTGGGTCTCAGTTTCTGAGTCTCTAAGAGGCTTTTCCCTTTTATCACTGACAATTTCAGGAAGCCCTACATAATATTTGCTAATATTTGACTAAATTGTCGGCATCCTTCTTCCCAGTCCCACTAGTTAGGTTTTATACGGTGATTAAAATAAACCCAAACTGCCCTTCTTTCGGTAAATTCTTATTTATTGGTGAACTTCCTACTCCAGTTGCCAATTCAGCTGTTTTTCAGCTCAGCACAAATAAAAAGTCGGCCTTCATTTCTTTGCGCCTAAAGTGATCCAAAATTTAAGAGTGGAGAAAGCCAGAACTTTGCGCAACTCTCCTTCCAAAGATCTTTGCGCGCGTTCCTGAGCTACCCCGACCATCCTAACAGTTTCAGTGGCAAAATCTCCCCAAGTTGGGCCGCGCAAAGCTCTCCTTGTCAAGAACTTTTCTGAGAGCTGGTGTCGTGCAGCCCGGGAAACAGGACCGGGCAGGTTAGAAACGTTGAACTTGGTGAAACCCCTTGAGACTGATCCAGGCAGGCCGTAGAACCCTCAGAGTTTCCCAGTTAAGGCCAAAAAGTTAAGCAGCCCTACCACCTGTTGAAAGAAGGGAACAGCAAAGAAGCTGGTGGAATGGGATGGGATGGGGCAAAAAAGAATCACAGAAAGTGGTGTGCCTCCGCCTGGGCCCCCTACTCCCGAAGTGGCATCTCCACTAAAGCTCGAGATGCTCCAGGAAGTTCCCAAACCGGCTCTCCCTGGGCGCAGTGCGCACCGCCGGCGCTCCCAGATCCCTGGACCACCCGGCCTGGGGGCGCGGGCGCGGCTGGGGAGGGAGGGGAGAGCTGGCTCACCTGGCGCTGAAGGCTGGAAGGTACAGTCTCGGTCCCCCGGAGCCCGGCCCGGCAGCCTCGCACTGTCCGCAGAGGGACTGAGCACTTGAAAAGCCCACCGCGTTCCGTAGGGCGCCCCGGCGGGGCTAACTTGTTCGGCTGCGGGGCACAGCTTTAGGGGAACTGGGCTAGCAGGCAGGGGCCGGAGCTGCGCGCCCGCGGTGGCCAGGGCGGTCGCCGGGTCGTGGGGCGCGGGCGGCTGCAGCCTGGGCGTTGGGGCGCCCCCGACCCGCAGCAAATTCTCGATCAGGAAACTCTTGCCCAGGTTGCCAAAGCCGGGCGCAGCGGGGAGGTTGAGGAGCGCGGAGGAAGCCACAACGTCCCAGTACGCACCGGCGTGGGCTGCGACCGCGCTGGGGAGCATAGTGCGGCGCCAACCGGTCTGCTGCGCGCCCGCCTTGCGCCCGCCTGTCGCCCGGGCGCCCCGCACCGCACCCAGAGCCGCAGCTTCTCGCCGCCGCCTCCCGCAGGGCTGGAGCGCGCGGAGCCAGGCAGGGAGGAAAGGCCACCCGGGACGGCGGCGGACTTGGAACGATATTATTTATTTGCGTTGGGCGTTTTTTTAAGGGATGGGAGGAGTGAGTGTGGGAGGGGGAAGCTGTGAGTTTCTCTGGCCGACAGCGTAGGCTCTGGGAGCGCAGGGGGGAGTCTTTCCCCCTCTCTATGCAGATCTGGACGGGTTTTTTTTTTGTTTTTTGTTTTTTTCTGGACGGACGGAAGGTGTGTCCAGCCCATCCATTCATGTCACCAGCCCCACAAAGTGACAGACGCGGCCAACAATAAGGGTAGTGCTGTGGCAAGGGGAGGGGACTCGTAGTGGGAGGAGGTGGGCGTGGAGGCGACGTGAATCGGGCGCGCTCGCCACCTCCCCGCTGCCGTGCAGAGCCGTGGCACTCTCGCTAGAGCCCAAGCAGTCCCCCAGGCGTGGGGTCTGGTGGACGCTGGCCTGGAGCGCCCGGAGGGCGGGGTGGGGGTGGGGGGGACGCGCTGTCGTCTGGGGTGTCTCCGCGTACTCCTGTTGGGCGAACCCTGGCTCTCCGGTGTTGGTTGTCACTTGAGCAACTGATGGGCTTCCAGGGGAAGTAAACGGAGTCGCTAGTGGCTGGAGGGGCTGTTATCAGGGTCAGTGGAAGGTATCACCGAGACTGTTGTAGCTGTGCCGCCCTTGAAAAGTTACCTCTGAAAGAGTGGGTTGTTTGCGTATTAAACGAGGCCCTTATGTTATAAGGGAGAAGGAGATGTGTTTTTCTCGGAGACCTTTTAAGAAATTTCTGTTTCCAGTGACTCATTTCCGGTCACCTTTTAATAAGATTTGTTTTTAAGGATTGTGGGGAGAGCTGCATACAGCTCCTTCACTCTAGAAGAGAGGATCTAATACGTTTTGATCTAGAGAAGGAGCTCATAGTCGGAGTTGGTTAAATGCCAGATGACAGATGGTTGCGTCCAAAACCTAGAGGGAAAAAACCACCACCAGGTCCTCCTAGACATTGGTAGTTGTGTACGTCTCTGCAGGGAGACGGGGATGAAAACACTGCGTTACTTAGGATTACAGCTGGTCTTTTTTTTTCTTCTGAAAATTTAAGTATTTTAAAATTTATTAACAGTTTGCTAAGTGGGAACTGGACAGATGAAAAGCATGGTTGTGTGTGTATGTGTATGTGTGTGTGTGTGTGTGTGTGTGTAAATAAAGCTTGCTTTTTAACCACAAGATGACTTTGGGAAGGCTGCTCCTTTAGGAAACTCTGTAACAGTGGAGTGTTAAAACTGTGAACTCTCTGCCAATTAACACTTACCATTGCTACTCTCCTGTCCAAATTTAGATGAATTTATTCTGAATGAGATTTTTTAAGGATGCCTGTGAAGTTTGGAGTCACATTATATTTTTCCTCTTTATCCTAAGAATAATTTGGTCTCTGGCCTCAATTTAGTTAAAAGCTAGCCAGAGTTGCCAGGTTAGTAAGATAAATATTCTTTTTAAGTTCACCTTATGGTGAATTTAAATGCCCAGCTTCATCAAAGATGAGCGTAGGTAACTAAATTAATGAAGTTTGTTTTTTTTTTCTAAGCTGGTGGACAATTTTATGACGTGCCGCTAAATGGGAGGAAAGTTATTTGCAAGACTGATTTATACTACCGATGTTCATTCACTTGTTGAGTTAGTCAGCAGACCTTTACTGAGCATTTCATATTTATTGAACACTTGTGGTGGTTTTGGGAATACATAGAAGAAAGATCTGGTCCTTGCCTCATGGGAATTCACAGCCTACTGGGAGGAGAAAAACAAGTAACATCTGAGGAAGGACTTCTAATTTGGAAGGAAAAACGTGAGAGAAAACTTTCTAAAGACAGTCTGTATTGTCATTCAGTTCGAAGAATTTTTTAATTTCCATCTTGATTTCATTTTTGACCCAATGATCATTCAGGAGCAGGTTATTTAATTTCCGTGTATTTGCATGGTTTTGAAGGTTCCCTTTGGAGTTGGTTTTCAGTTTTATTCCACTGTGATCTGAGAGAGTGCTTGATATAATTTCAATTTTCTTTAATTTATTGTGGCTATTTTGGAGAAAGTTCTATGCACTGATAAATAGAATGTATATTCTGCGGTTGTTGGGTAGAATGTTCTGTAAATATCTGTTAAGTCCATTTGTTCCAGGATATAGTTTAAATCCATTGTTTTTTTGCTGACTTTCTGTCTTGATGACCTGTCCAGTGCTATCAGTGGAGTATGAAGTCCCTCCACTACTATTGTGTTGCTATCTATCTCATTTCTTAGGTCTATTAGTAATGGTTTTATAAAATTAGGAGCTCCAGTATTAGGTGCCTGTCAAAACCTCTGGGATACAAGAAAGGCTTGCTAAGAGGAAAGTTCATAGCCCTAAATACCTACATCAGGAAGTATGAGAGAGCACAGACAGACAATCTAAGGTCACACCTCAAGGAACTAGAGAAGCAAGAACAAAACCCAAACCCAGCAGAAGAAAGGAAATAACCAAGATCATCGCAGAACTGAATGAAATTGAAACAAAGAAAAGACAAAAGATAAATGAAACAAAAAGCTGGTTCTTTGGAGAGAGAAATAAAATTGATAGACCATTAGCAAGAATAACCAAGAAAAGAAAAGAGAAAATCCAAGCAAGCTCAATTAGAAACATAATGGAAGATATTACAACTGACACTACAGAAATACAAGACATCATTTAAGGCTACTATGAATATCTTTATGCACACAAACTAGAAAACCTAGAGGAGATGGATAAATTCCTGGAAAGATACAACCATCCTAGCGTAAATCAGGAAGAATTAGATATCCTGAACGGACCAATAATAAGCAGTGAGATTGAAATGGCAATTTAAAATTTACTGACAAAAACATTCCAGTACCAGATGGATTCACAGCAGAATTCTACCAGACATCCAAAGAATTGGTACCAATCCTATTGACACTATTCCACAAGATAAAGAGGGAATCCTCCCTAAATCATTCTATGAAGCCAGGATCACCCTAATACCAAAACCAGGGAAGGACATTACCAAAAAAGAAAACTACAGACCATTATCTCTGATGAACATAAATGCAAAAATCCTTAACAAAATACTATCTAACCAAATCCAACAAGACAGCAAAAAAAAAAAAAAAAAAAAAAAAAAAAAAAAAAAAAAAATCCCCCATGATCAAGTGGGTTTCATATCAGGGATGCAGAGATGGCTTAACATGCAAGTCAGTAAATGTGATGCACCACATAAACAGAATTAAAAACAAAAATTGCATGATCGCCTCAATAGACACAGAAAAAGCATTCAGCAAAATCCAGCATTCCTTTATGATTAAAATTCTCAGCAAAAGCAGCATACAAGGGACATATCTCAACGTAATAAAAGCCATCCATCTCTGACAAACCCACAGCCAACATAATACTGAATGGGGAAAAGTTGAAAGCATTCCTTCTGAGAACTGGAACAACATAAGGATGCCCATTCTCACCATTTCTCTTCAACGTAGTTCTGGGAGTCCTAGCCAGAGCAATCAGACAAAAGAAAGAAATAAATGGCATCCAAATCAGCAAAGAGGAAGTCAAACTGTCGCTGTTTGCTGATGATAGGATTGTTTCCCTAAAAATCCCTAAAGACTCCTCCAGAAAGCTCCTAGAACTGATAAAAGAATTCAGCAAAGATTCCAGATACAAAATTAATGTACACAAATTAGTAGCTCTTCTATACATCAACAGCGACCAAGCTGAGAATCAAATCAAGAACTCAACCTCTTCTACAATAGCTGCAAAAAAATAAAATAAAATATTTAGGAATGTATCTAACCAATGAGGTGAGAGACCTCTACAAGGAAAACTACAAAAAGCTGCTGGAAAAAATCATAGACAACACAAACAAATGGAAACACATCTCATGCTCATGGATGAGTAGAATCAGTATTGTGAAAATGACTATACTGCCAAAAGCAATCTACAAATTAAACACAATTCTTACCAAAATACCACCATTATTCTTCCCAAAATTAGAAAAAACAATCCTAAAATTCGTATGGAACTAAAAAAGAGCCCACATAGCCAAAGCAAGACTACGCGAAATGAACAAATTTGGAGGCATCACATTACCTGACTTCGAACTATGTAAGGCCACAGTCACCAAAACAGCATGTTACTGGTATAAAAATAGGCACATAGACCAGTGGAACAGAATAGAGAACCCAAAAATAAACCCCAATACTTACAGCCAATTGCTCTTTGACAAAGCAAACAAAAACGTAAAGTGGGGATAGGACACCCTATTCAACAAATGGTGCTGGGATAATTGGCTAGCCACCTGTAGGAGAATGAAACTGGATCTTCACCTCTCACCTTATATAAAAATCACCTCAAATGGATCAGGGACTTAAATCTAAGACCTGAAACGATAAAAATTCTAAAAGATAACCTTGGAAAAACCCTTCTAGACATTGGCTTAGGCAAGGATTTTATGACCAAGAAGCCAAAAGCAAATGCAACAAAAACAGATAAATAGCTGGGACTAAAGAGCTGGGACTGCTGAGCTTTTGCACAGCAAAGGCACAGTCAGCAGAGTAAACAGACAACCCACAGAGTGGGAGAAAATCTTTACAAACTATACATCTGGCAAAGGACTAATATCCAGAATATATAACGAGCTCGAACAAATTAGCAAGAAAAAAACAATCTCATCAAAAAGTGGGCTAAGGACGTAAATAGAAAATTCTCAAAAGAAGATATACAAATGCCCAACAAACATATGAAAAAGTGCTCAACATAACTAATGATCAGGGAAATACAAATCAAAACCACAATGCGATACCACCTTACTCCTGCAAAACTGGCCATAATAATAAAAAAAAATAGATGTTGGCATGGATGTGGTGAACAGGGAACACTTCTACACTGCTGGTGGGAACGTAAACTAGTACAGCCACTGTGGAAAACAGTGTGGACATTCCTTAAAGAACTGAAAGTAGAACTACCATTTGATCCAGCAATCTCACTACTGGGTATCTACCCAGAGGAAAACTAGTCATTATAGGAACATGCATGTTTATAGCAGCACAATTCGCAATTGCAAAAATGTGGAACCAACCTAAATACCCATCAATCAATGAATGGATAAAGAAACTGTGGTATATACATATACATATATACACACACACGTTCCATATATATATTCCAACATATATATATATATATATATATATATATATATATATATATATATGTATATGATGGAATACTACTGAGCCATACAAAGGAATGAATTAGTGTCATTTGCAGCAACCTGGATGAGATTGGAGACTGTTCTAAGTGAAGTAACTCAGGAATGGAAAACCAAACGTTGTATGTTCTCACTCATATATGGGAGCTAACCTATGAGGATGCAAAGGCATACGAATGACACAATGGACTTTGGGGACTCAGGGGGAAAGTCTGAGTAGGGAGTGAGGGATAAAAGACTACAAATTTGGTGCCATGTATACTGTTCAGGTGATGGGTGCACCAAATTCTCACAAATCACCACTAAAGAACTTACTCAGGTAACCAAACACCACCTGTTCCCCAATAACGTATGGATATAAAAAAAATAAAAGTAAAGGCAGTCTCACTGAACTGAGTTTTCTTGTTGTTGTTGAGTTTTTTTTTTTTTTTTTAAAGACCGAATCTGACTTTGTCACCCAGACTGGAGTGCAGACACAATTCTTGAACTTCTGGAATTCCTGGCCTCGGTCAAGTAATCCTCCCACCTGGGTCTCCCCAGGTGCTGGGATTACAGGCATGAGCTGCTGCGCTGGGCCCTGAACTGAATATTAAAGGTGAATAGTGGTTGGGGATAGGATGTGAAGTAGTAAAATTTGAGATTGAGCAGGGAAAAGAGTGACTACATGATTATTGTCATCACCATATCATAGTCACCATGCAGCCAGGCACAGTACAGGATACCTCAGAGATATTGTGAATTCAGTTCTAGACCACCACCATAAAGTGAATATCAAAAAAAGGCAGGTCACACTTTTTTTTTGTTTTCCAGAGCATGTAAAAGTTATGTTTACACTCTGCTGTAGTCTGTTAAGTGTGCAATATCATTATGTCTTTAAAAAAGTATATACCTTAATTTAAAAATACTTTATTGCTAAAAAGTGCTAACGTTCATTTGATCTTTCAGCGAGTTATAATATTTTTGCTGGTGGAAGGTCTTGCCTTGACATTGATGGTTGCTGACTGACCAGGGTGGTAATTGCTAAGGATTGAGGTAGCTGTGGCAATTTCTTAACATAAGACAGCAATGAAATTTGCCACACCAATGGACTCTTTCTTTCAGGAAAGATTTGTCTATAGCATGAAATGCTAGTTGATAGCATAGCATTTTACCCATTGTAGAACTTATTTCAAAATTGGAGTCAATCCTTTTAAACCTTGCCACTACTTTACCAAATGAGTTTATGCAATGTTCTAAATCCTTTGTGGCTGTTTCAACAATGCTCACAGTATCTTCACCAACAGATTCCATCTCAAGAACCCACTTTCTTTGCGTATCACTGAGAAGCAACTCCCCATCTGTTCAAGTTTGATCATGAGATTGGGACAATTCAGTCACATCTTCGGGTTCCATTTTTAAATTCTAGTTCCCTTGCTACTTGTAGCACATCTGCAGTTACTTCCTCCACTAATGTGTTGAACCCCTTAAAGTAATGCATGAAGGTTGGAATTAACTTATGCTAAACTTCTCTTAATATTATTTTGACCTCTTCCCATGAATCATGAATGTTCTTAATGGAATCTAGAATGGTGAATCCTTTCCAGAATGTTTTCAATTTACTTTGCCCTGATCCATCAGAGAAATCATCTTTGTGGCAGCTATAGCCTTACAAATTGTTTTAAAGAATAAGACTTAAAAGTTGAAATGACTCCTTGATCCATGGGCTGCAGAAGGGATATTGTATTAGCAAAGTGGAAACAACGTTAATCTCCTTATATAGTTCCATGAGAGCTCTTTGATGAGGAGGTGCATTGTCAATCAGCAGTAATATTTTGAAAGAAATCTTAAGGGCCCTAGGATTTTCATAAGAGTAAATGACCATTGGCTTCAACTTAAAGTCACCGGCTGCATTATCCCCTAACAAGAGAGTCAGCCTGTCTTTTGAAGCTTTGAAGCCAGGCACTGACTTCTCCTCTCTGGCTATGAAAGTCCTACATGGCATCTTCTTCTAACAGAAGACTGTTTCATTTACATTGAAAACCTGTTGTTTAGTGTAGCCACCTCCATTGATGATCTTAGCTAGATCTTCTGGAACACATGCTTCAGCTTCTTCATCAGCACTTGGCACTTCACTTTTGCACTTTTGTGTTATGGAGATGGCTTCTTTCCTTAAACCTCATGAATCAACTTCTGTTAGTTTCAGATTTTATTCTGTAGCTTCCTCACCTCCCACAACCTTCATAGAATTGAAGAAAGTTGGGACCTTTCTCTGGTTAAAGCTTTGGCTTAAGGAAATATTGTAGCTGGTTCGGTCTTCTATCTAGACCACTTAAACTTTCTCTATATCAGCAATAAGGCTCTTTTATTTCCTTATCATGTGTGGGTTCCCTAGAGTAGCACTTGCATTCATAACTTGGCTGTTTGGTGCAAGAGGCCTAGCTTTTGGCCTGTCTTGACTTTTGACATGCCTTCCTCACTAAGCTTAATCATTTTTAGCTTTTGATTTAAAGTGAGAGTTGTGTGACTTCTCCTTTCACCTGAACACCTACAAACTAGGCTTATTAATTGGCTGAATCTTGTTGTGTCTCAGGGAATAGGAAAGCTTGAGGAGAGGCAGAGAGGTGGGAAAACAGCCAACAGCCAATTGGTGGAGTGGTCAGAACACATACAACATTTATCAATTAAGTTTACTGTCTTATATGGGCACAGTTCTTGGTGCCCCCAAACAATTACACTAATAATGTCAAAGATCACAGATCACCATAACAGATATAATAATAATGAAAACTTTCAAAATATTTCAAGAATTACCAAAATGTGACACAGAGACACAAAGTGAACACATGCTGTTGGAAAAATTGTACTGATAGCCTTGCTCAGTGATAGCCATGCAGGGTTGACACAAACCTTCAATTTGTAAAATATGCAATTTCTGTGAAGCACAATGAAGCAAAGTGGAATAAAACAAACAAGGTTTGCCTATACTAAACACTTTATACATATTAACTCATTTATCTTCACAATAATACTATAAGGTTGGTACTACTATTATCCCAGTTTTACTGATGGGCACATAGAATTTAAGTAACTTTCCTAAGGCGGCACAACTATCAGAGTGTTGAGGCTGAGATGCAATGATCCAAGCTGGATGATTCCAAAGCTTTGCTGTTAACCTTTAAGTTCAACTAGTTGCCCTTCATGAACCTGATATTCCATGCAACGTCATGTCACCTGGCTATCCTTAGATGAAAATGAGGCCGAAAAACAAGTATTCCATTTTTCTTTAGTGCATGGTAGCAAGGAATATTTGAGTCAAGAATTACTGTTGGGTCAGCAAACTTGCCACAGCCGGAGAGGAGGCAATTGGAAACATCTAGAGGCGAAATGATGTGAAATTTAATGAAATGGGTCAGGCGAGGTGGCTTACACCTGTAATTCTAGCACTTTGGGAGGCAGAGGTCGGAGGATCACTTTAGCCCAGGAGGTCAAGGCTGCAGTGAGCTGTTATTGTGCCACTGCACTCCAGCCTGGGTGACAGAATGAAACTTTGTCTCAAAGAAAAAAAGAAATGAATGGCAAAAAGATTTAAATGAAGAAAGAAAATGTTGCCAGGGTTGAATCTGTAGGACTGGATGATTTTATAGGGCAGTTCTTAACTGGAGATAACTGGAGACAGTCTCCCCCTCCCCAGGGGACATTTGGCAATGTCTGGATATTTTTTGAGATTGTCATAAACATGGGAAGGGGTTCCCTACTGGTATCTAGCAGCTGAAGGCCAAGGATGCTGCTAAACATCCTACAATGTGCAGAACCTCTCCCACAACAAATAATTATCTGGCCCAAAATGTCAGTAGTGCTGAGGCTGAGACCCTCAGTTATAGAGGATAAGGGTCTTGAATGTAGGATCACTTCATTTTCTGGTTTGGTGACCGGGGAAGATGCCCACTTACCAAAATGGAGACTTAAAGGAAGAACAGCAGGTTTTACATCGGGGTCTGAACAAAAAGATGGAGATAGATTTGCTGGTTATTTATGGAATGTTCCAGGGAGAATATTTAGTGAGAAGAGAAATGACTTAAGAACAAAGTGCAGGGGGATGCCAACATTTAAGGAAGTGAATAAAAGAAAGAGGACCTGTGCGTGACTGAAAATAAGCAGCCAGGATTTGAAGACAAACCAAGAGAGAATGGTGCCATGGAAGACACAGGAGAGAGTGTCAGAAAGAAGGATGGCAGACTTTGGTAAAGAACTGCTGTATTCTCACCAGTTTATTTTTCCAACTGGAAGACAGCTACAATGTATTTTCCAGCCTTCCTTGCAGGCTGTGTTATGGCCGATGGAATAAAGGTAGAAGGATAAATTTCTCGCTGGCCCTGTCCCCTTCTAACAACTACACTCTTCACTCCTCAGCTGCCAGATGCAGAGCTCCAGTGGAGGGCCTTAAGTCCGTAGGAGATGGTGGAGCCACAAGATGAAAGGAGCCTAAGGCCCCGGGTCACCACAAGGAAGGACAACAAGCAAATACATGAGGAGATCATGACCTAAATGAAAACTAAACTTTTATTGGGTAATCCCATTAAGATTTAGGAGTTGGTTTCTACAGCTTATCCTCACCGACCTTAATATACTAACTCTAAAAATGCCTCAGACCAAAAAAAAAAAGTAACTTGATCATGAGTGACTTGGGCAAGAGCCTCTTTTCATGGGGGCAAGGGAGCCAGAAACTAGTTTATGGACTGCTGAATGCCAATAGAAGGTAAAAGGAGGAGAGGGGGAGGTTGAAGAAACACAAAGGGAAAGCTAAAGGAAATCATGTGGTTAAAAGAAAGAGTCAAGGATATTTATATGATGAGAGAAAAGGGGCACTGCAGAGGAGAGGCTGAAGGTCAAGGATAGATGGGGGTGTTTGAGGAAGCAAAGTTCTTGAGGAGGAAGGAAGAAGTAGGATCCATAGTCCAAGTGGGGCAATTAAAATTGAACAAAGAAGGGGCAAAGTTTTTCCTCACATGAGAGAAAAGAGATAAAAATATATGGATTCAGAGAGACTTTGTGAGGAGGGGGAAGAAAAACATTAGAATTCTTGCCTCATGATTTCTGGGGTTTTTTTTGGTGAAGAAGCCGTGAGAATAGAGGAAAGAAAGTGGGCTCTGTGTTAAGAGATCTGGGTTTGAAATTCATCTGTACAACTGATTAGCTACGTGTGGTAGATCAATTTCATTTATAGTCCAAATTTATGAGTTCCCTCCCCCCTACAATTTTGTAGTTCACTCTCATTCTGACTCTGGGCTCAATCATGGGACTTCCTTCAGCCCATAGGATAGCAAGCAGAGGCTTGAAGGACATTTGGGTGTTTCTACTTCATTTCATGGACTCTTGTGGTTTCTGTGAAAATAGACCTGGTGTAGCCCATGGAAGGAGATAAGAGACCACATAGAATAAAGCAGGATTGTCCCAAGATCCCAGCTGACCTGCCAGCTGACAGCAGATGCATGACTGAGTCCAGTCCAGAGCAGCAGAACCAGCCAATGGACCCAGAACTCATAGGAAATTATTCTAGTTAATTATTTTAAGCCAATAAACTGGGGTGGTTTGTTATACAAGTATACTGGACACTCATGGGACAGTTGTTTAACCTCTCTTAGAATCCATTTTCTCTTAGGTGAAATGGGATATTTATCCCTAACTCATAGCGCTATTTTGATGTGTAAATACGATAATGCATTCAAAACATCTTGCTCAGTGTCTGACACTTAAAAGCAAATCAGAGTCATTGTTAACAGAAAGCTAAAAATGAGGTCATCAGCTGAGATTGAGGGCAAGAGACTAGAGTAAGCTGTAGTGAGGAGAGGAGCTAGGGGAAGGTCTGAAATAGCCATCTGAGAAGTAAGAGAATGTAGAATGTATTATTCTGTTTTCACACGGCTGTAAAGAACTGCCCAATGCTGGATAATTTATAAAGAAAAGGGGTTTAATTGGTTCATAGTTCCGCAGGGTTGGGAAGGCTTACAACGGGAAACTTTGTAACTTACAGGAAACTTAACAACAATCATGGCAGGAGGGGAAGAGGCACATCTTTTTTTTTTTTTTTTTTTCTATTTTGAAAAAGCTATTTACTTTTTTCCAAATATTATTCTAAATAGGTGTTTTACAGATAAGGGTCAATATGAAGTCAAACATTCTAGAGAAGAAAATCATTTTTACAGAAATTAAGAATAATTTTAACAGAAGAAAAACCTCCTATCTGTCTAGATGTGGCTGTGTTCCATGGGAAAATTTCAGCATCCAAAGTGCAAAGAAAAAATGACTGTGGCTTTTCTTACCACAGAAAATATTGACCATCTTCCCTTATAGCCTATTCTTTATTGTTAGTTGGGATGCCAAAGGACGACATATTGACCTTTGGAAGTTGGGCTCCACTGGACAAGGTTGGGAGTATGGGGGTCAAGCATCAGAATGAATTCAATTTTAAAAGAAAAACTGACTTTGACCCCAAATTAACCCAAGGTTCAGCCAATGGCACATCAGAGATAAATATGCGTTGTACTTTCACATTTACAAGGTTGTGCCACTCAACACTATTAAAGACCTAATCATCCAAATCAAAGCTACACATACTCCCATCACTAGTTCTGTCCTCAATGCATCCCATTTTTATGAAAGCTCCATATTATAGCTCAGTTCATAATGGGGAATGAGAACTTCCAGTTCTTAGAAGGAGGCATCCTAAATCTTCTGGTGTAATCCTTTCTTCGCCCCACCCTCCCACTTCCCACCCTGAGACAAGCCAATCTTATCAGATAGGTAGGGTTTCTGTCATTGTCTCATGGAAATCAGTTGAATGAAACTAGAGAAAGATCGTTCATTCCATGAGCAGCATTTGGCTTTAAGCCAAAGGGATAGTAACCCCCTTCCCCCAAAAGAATCACAATCAATTCCATACTAACCCTTCTACTCCTGGAAAGATGTCTCATCTAAAAGCTCCCAACAGTGACCAGAACAAGGTACTGATATTATGTGACTCGAGGAGAAGGAAGGGGAGATATATAAAATTTTAGTAAAACCCTCATGCAAAATTAAACTTGAGTAAAAGCCTGGAGAATGCTAAAAATAGTAATGAGAAGAGGAGGCTGTAGAGCAGAGAGTACAGGTGCATCCTTTCTTATAGTCAATCAATGCTGGGAGTAATAGGTAGATGTGACTTCACTTGAGCATTGAAGAAGCAAAAAGGTTGCCTTGCCTTCCTAGGTTAGTGGCAGACTTGCCTTTGCTCCCAAATCTGGGAGTGTTCTTTGTGAGGGTGGAACAGACTCCCTGTGACAGGGAACTAGATGAAGGAGTCTTGAGAAGCTGATGATCAGGAGTGGTCACAGGTCCCAGTAAACTCACTTTAATATCTGGTGTTGAAAAGGCATTTGAGTTTTCAGTGACATGTAGGGGGTCAATGTTCTCTGCTCCACTATTGAGAACTGACTCCAGTACTCCAGGGGCAAGGAAGGCAGGCGCTCGACCACCTTGGGTTGACACTTGATGTCCTGTAACATCGTCACTGGTTCTGGATTGGGCACAGCATGGGCCACTATTGTAGAGCCAAAGACTTCAGCCAGATTGGCAACATTCATTTTAGTATATGGACTCTGAGCCACTCTCTGCAAGTGAATCATGAGGAAAACCAATGTGTCCCTGTTGGCCTGGGGCAGTTCACCAACAGCCTGGTACATGGCAGATATGCTGTTGTCTTCATCTGTGATTTCTGCTGCTTCCATAAAGGCTTTGTTTAGGCGAAAGGTCAGAAGAGGTTCTTTGAAGTTTCGAAGAAAGTCTTTAAGAAGGCTACAGATAGCATGGATATCATCCACTTTGCTGACGAGGGGTACAGTTTTCACTCTGAGGAATTTCTCTTTCAGCTTTTACTGTGCTGTCACAGCCCAAGATCCTATACAGGCCTGTCTCAGTAAGACCTCTCTGCTCAATCTCATTTACACAATGCACAACAATGCGGGGGATCATTGGAAAAGTCTGGGACACAAAGTCGGCCAGCATTCCCTCTCCAATCTTGACAGGTGTTCCTATCAGGGTAGGAATGCAGGGAAGGGGACAGTGGTCCCGACATTCTGGACGAGAGATCACACAACAGTCCTGACACTTCAGAGATAGTTTCCCAAATTTTATCTGCTTTCCACATGGAACATAGAATTCAGGTTTAATAACCGTCTTAGAGACAAAGTCATTCAGGCACATCCCTCTGTTACTCTGTGGCGTGCCCACATTGTCTCAGTTCTTGGCTCCAGCTGCCTGCTGTTCAGGGTGGGGTCACTGTTCCAAGGTTGTAAAGTACCTGTTTTCCTTTGGCTCCTGGTCCAGTATGGCACAGTCTCAATAGTGGGCACAGCTTTGATGGGCCCGCCATCCTTGGGAACAGTCACTGTAGTTTTTGCAACTATGGATTCATTCCCCCTGGTCTACTGTGGAGCCAATGGAACGAGTTTCCTTTACAGGTCCAGAGGGACCATCAACAAACTGTCGGCTACTAGAGCACCTCTTTTCTCTCTGCTTCCGCTTGAAAGTCTTCACCAAAGAAGAGTCGCAATCCAGTGATTCATCAGTCTTGTCAAAGCTGATACCTGATAAAATGGAACCAGATTCATCGCTAATTTAAAGTCTTTTGTTCCCAGCATTGCTGCTGGATGGTTGGCCTCTGTTGAGAAAAGCCAAAGCTGATTTTTGCTCCCCGCTTAGTTGAATGCTGCCAGATATGTCACACAGGAACATCTCTCCAATCAGCTGAATCTGTTACTCCAGCTTTTCGCAGTTAGCCTCAGCTCTCCGTTTGGATGTCTGCATCCACCTGATTATGTGCATGCTTCAGCTTAACATCCAGAGCACTTCACTCAGTCTCTGCTTTTATCAAAAGATCCTTGTATTTCCCCAGCTCATAGTCAGTCCTCTCCCACTTTTTAAAGAAATCCTCAAAGTCCTTCACCAACTGGATAAATTGGAGTTCGTTTCCTTCCTTGAGAATCTCCGCCCCGCGCACAAGCTGCTCAAACAGATTCCGCATATTCAGCATAGTAGTATCCATCTTTTTCAGTCAGCCTGGCCTCACCTGGGCAGCCCTTCACTTTGCTCTGCACCTCAATCAAGGGCAGAGCAGCAGCCGCGGGGCCAGCTCCTGACGCACATCTTAACATGGCGGCAGGTGAGAGAGAACAAGCGTGAGAAGGAGGAACTATCAGACACTTACAAAACCAAATCTCGTGAAAACTCACTATCAGGAGAACAGCATGGGGAACAGCGCCCCCATGATCCAATCACCTCCCACCAGGTCTCTCCCTCTGCACCTGGGGACTATGGGGATCACAATTCAAGATGAGATTTGTATGGGAACACAAAGCCTAACCATATCAGAGAGGAAAGTGCCAGACAACACAGTAGATCTCAGCTGAGGCCTCAGACCATGAATTTTTAGTGGCTTTTTAATAGGCACATACTATTGTGTACTTTTCTCCAAAAGGACCCAAGATTAGAAGGGAGAGTTGGACTGTTTTATAGTGACATTTCTGCAGGCAGGCTCTGGAAAAAGAACCCAGGAACAATGAGCATGAGTAAAGATAGGCATTTTGTAGGGTAGGCTAGAAAGGGAAGATAGCAGGAACCCTGAGAAGTTAGGGGACCAGCAATCTCAGTAGGGTATAAAATTTGTGAATCATAAATACCAAAGTGAGAGCACTGGTGAAAGAAATGATTGTGATCAGTGAGGTGGCTGCAAGTGTTACAATTTCAGAGGCAGAGCAGTTCCAGTTAATGAAACATTCTAAGATAATGGTAATGGGAGTGAGAGGCTAAAGTGGCAACAAGTCCAAGCCAACACATTTGAGAAAGTTAGAGATATCTGAGGTAGAGGCAATAGATGGAATATCCCCATAGACACTGAACTCACCAAGGATGTTATATTAGTCTGTTCTCACACAGCTATAAACAACTACCTGAGACTGGGTAATTTATGAAAAGAGGTTTAACTGACTCGCAGTTCCACAGGCTGTATAGGAAGCATGACTGCGAGGCCTCAGAAAACGTACAATCACAGCGGAAGGTGAAGGGGGAAACAAGCACCTTCTTCACATGGTAGCAGAAGAGAGTGCACAAGAGGAGAAGTGCCACACACTTTTAAACCATCAGATCTTGTGAGAACTCACTATCATGAGAACAGCATGGGGGAAATCCGCCCCATGATCCAATCACCTTTCACCAGGTCCCTCCCCCAACATTGAGAATTACAATTCAACATGAGATTTGTGTGGGGACACAGAGCCAAACCATATGGGATATCAAACCAGCCTCCTACACACAGTAGATATTATGGCTGATGGACAGCTCCAGCACCTCTCAAAATTTTGTTGGTAACTTAATTCTTTCTCCTGTTCCAGTTCAAAAGATTCTGGCAGAGGACTTTGGTGACATGCTTATGCTTAGACCTGGAGAGGCAGAGTGTGATGACTAAAAACAAATGACTAAAGTGAGAAAAAAAGCAATGTCCCAAAAGATGAAATGCTGTTCCCAGAAGAATGAAGCGGAAGTTAGTATATTACAAAAGAAGACAAACAGATTACACCTACATGTCTACCACATTTGCAAGACTGCAATGTTGTTCACACAGAATCTGTTGTTTAACACTCCTATCTCCTAGAATCCATATTGTGCAGTCTTTAAATATTCCCCAGTAAAAGGAACCAGAACTCTCTGGAGAAACAGCTGAATCCACCTCTGCAGCAGGATGAGCTTGGAAGATCTAGCCATATAAGGAAGCAACAAGGCTATCTGGGATCACATCAAAAAGACACAGGAGCCTAATTGAAGGTACTGCCACTAGGAAAAGATGGGGCAGCTTGAATATTGTATTAGTTAGTTTTCACACTACTGATAAAGACATACCCAAGATTGGGCAATTTACCAAAGAAAGAAGTTTCATTGGACTTACAGTTCCACATGGCTGGAGACACCTCAGAATCATGGCATAAGGCAAAAAGCACATCTTACATCACAGCAGGAAAGAGAGAGAATGAGAGCCAAGCTAAACATGTTTCCCCTTATCAAATCATCAGATCTTGTGAGACTTATTTACTACCACGAGAACAGTATGGGAGAAACCGCCCCCATGATTCAATTATCTCCCTCTGGGTCCCTCCCACAACACATGGGAATTATGGGAGTACAATTCAAGATGAGATATGGGGGAGGACACAGAGCCAAACCACATCAAGTATGAAAAGGAATAATGACTGTAGTGGACCAAAATTTCTCAAATAGGTTAAAAATCCATGAGTTTAAAATGATAATTTTTTAAAAAAGTCATTGGCCCCCTTGGAATGCTATGGTACCAATTCACTATTCTGAAAATAACAAATACATGGAAATACATATTCATCCTGTATTTTAGCATAAGCAAATAATTTATAGGGGGTAAGTGCTCCTTTACAGAAGAATTTAAGTGTAGGGCAATAAATGCAGAAGTAATGATAGAATTGGTGTATCATCATTACCTGAAAGATAGGCATATTGAGAAGGCAACACCTGAATCTACTGATCAATTTAATATGACAAAATAGACAACCTGATATTGTGTTATATGTTAGCTTATAAAGGCCCCAGTTAGTGACCTCTCTGCATCCAGTCTCTCACACTCCAACTTTGAACTCAGTCATGTGACTTCATTTGGCCCACAGACAGTAAGCAAGGGCTTGAAAAAGCACTTGTGAGTTTCTTCTGCCTTTGTATTAGTCTGTTCTCATGTTGCTATAAAGAACTGCCCAAGACTGAGTAATTTATAAAGGAAAAAGGTTTAATTGACTCACAGTTCTGCAGGGCGCGGAGGCCTCAGGAAACTTAGAATTATAGCAGAAGGGGAAGCAAACACGTCCTTCTTCACATGGCGGCAGGAAGGGGAAGCACCGAGCACAGGGGGAAAAGCCCCTTATAAAACCATCAGATCTCATGAGAACTCCCTCACTGTCACAAGAACAGCATGAGGATAACCGCTCCCATGATTCAATTACTTCCCAGTGGGTCCTTCCCACGACATGTGGGGATGATGGGAATTACAATTAAAAATGAGATTTGGGTGCGGACACAGACAAACCATATCATTCCACCCCTATCCCCTCCCAAATTTCATGTTCTCACATTTCAAAACTAATTATACCTTCCCAACAGTTCCCCAAAGTCTTAACTCATTCCAGCATTAATACAGAAGTTCAAGTGCAAAGTCTTATCTGAGACAAGGCAAATCCCTTCTGTCTATAAGCCTGTAAAATTGAAAAGCAAGTTAGTTACTTCCTAGGTACAATGGGAGTACAGGCATTGGGTAAATACACCCATTCCAAATGGGAGAAATTGGCCAAAACAATGGGGCTACAGGCCTCATGCAAGTCCCAAATCCAATAGGGCAGTCATTAACCTTAAAGTTTCAAAATGATCTCCTCTGACTCCATGTCTCACATCTAGGTCACACTGATGTGAGAGAAGGGCCCCCATAGCCTTGGGCAACTCTGCCTCTGTGGCTTGGCAGGATACAGCCTCCTCTCAGCTGCTTTCATGGCTGGCATTGAGTGTCTGTGGCTTTTCCAGGCACACGATGCAAGCTGTCAATGGATTTACCATTCTGGGATCTGGAGGATGGTGGCCCTCTTCTCATAGCTCCACAAGGCAGTGCCCCAGTAGAGACTCTGTGGGGTGGCTCCCGACCCCACATTTCCCGTCTGCACCACCCTAGCAGAGGCTGTCCATGAGGGTTCCAGTCCTGCAACAAACTTCTGCGTAGACATCTAGGCATTTCCATACATCCTCTGAAATCTAGGCAGAGGTTCCCAAACCTCAATTCTTGAACTTCTGTGCACCCACATGCCCAACACCAAGTGAAAGCCGCCAAGGCTTAGGGCTTGCACCCTCTGAAGCAACATTCTCTGAGCTGTATGTTGGCACCTTTTAGCCACGACTAGAGCTGAAGCAGCTGGGATACAGGGCATCATGTCCTGAGGCTGCACAGAGCAGGAGGTCCCTGGTCCTGGTCCACAAAACCATTTTTCCTTTCTAGGCCTCTGGACCTATGATGGGAGGGGCTGCTGTGAAGGTTTCTGATATGCCCTGGAGACATTTTCCCCATTGTTTTGGTGATTAACATTCAGCTCCTCATTACTTATACAAATTTCTGCAGCTGGCTTGAATTTCTCCCCAGAAAATGAGGTTTTCTTTTCTAGTGCATCATCAGGCTGCAAATTTTTCAAACTTTTATGCTCTGCTTTCTCTTGAAGGTTTTGCCACTTAAAAGTTTCTTTCACCAGATACCCTAAATTGTCTCTCTCAAGTTCAAAGTTCTTCAGATATCTAGGGCAGGGGCAAAATGCCACTAGTCTCTTTGCTAAAGCATAGCAAGAGTCACCTTTATTCCATGATATGGTTTGGTTCTGTGTCCCCACCCCAATCTCATCTTGAACTATACTCCAATAATTCTCATGTGTTGTAGCGACTCGGTGGGACATAATTTGAATCATGGGGGCGGTTTCTCCCATACTGTTCTCGTGGCAGTGAATAAGTCTCATGAGATCTGATGGTTTTATCAGGGATTTCCACTTTTGCATCTCTCTCATTTTCTCTTGCCTCCACCATGTAAGAAGTGCCTTTTGCCTCCTGCCATGATTCTGAGGCCTCCCCAGCCATGTGGAACTGTAAGTCCAATTAAACCTCTTTTTCTTCCTGGTACCGGGTATGTCTTTATAAGCAGCTTGAAAACGGAATAATACACTCCAATTCCCAAGAAGTTCCTCATCTCCATGTGAGACCACCTCAGCCTGGACTTCATTGTCCATATCACTGTCAGCATTTGGTCAAAGCCATTCAACAAGTCTCTAGTAAGTTCCAGACTTTCCCACATTTTCCTCTCTTCTTCTGAGCCCTTCAAACTGTTCCAACTTTTGCCTGTTACCAAGTTTTACATTTGCTTCCACATTTTGGGGTATCTTCACAGCAGTGCCCCACTACTCAGTACCAATTTATGGTATTAGTCCATTCTCACACTGCTATAAAGAACTGCCCAAGATTGGGTAATTTATAAAGGAAAGAAGTTTAATTGACACAGTTCTGCAGGACTGGGGAGGCCTCAGGAAATTTAAAATCATGGTGGAAGGGGAAGCAAACACGTACTTCTTCACGTGGTGGCAGTAAGGAGAAGTGCCAAGCAAAGGGGAAAAGCCCTTTATAAAACCATTAGATCTTTTGGGAACTCACTATCATGAGAACAGCATGAGGGTAACTGCCCCCATGATTCAACTACCTCCCACCAGGTCCCTCCCATGACACATGTAGATTATGGGAACTACAGTTCAAGATGAAATTTGAGTGGGGACACAGCTAAACAATATCAGCCTTCCTTGAACACCCTGCAATCTCTACAGGAATAAACCTGGGGTCACCCCCCGGAAAGAGGAGAGACCACATGGAATTGAGCTGAATTGATCCAACTGAGACCATTCTAGACTAGCCAGATGCCAACCTCTGAAATATATTTTGCCAAAAAACATTGAAATAAATCTTTAATCTGGCTGGACACAGTGGCTCACCCCTGTAATCCCAGCACTTTCGGAGGCCGAGGGGGGAAATCACTTGAGTCCAGGAGTTCAAGACCAGCCTGGGCAACATGGCAAAACCCCATCTCTACCAAAAAATAAAAAAATTAGCCCAGCATGGTGGTACACACCTGTAGTCCCAGCTATGTGGGAGGCTGAGGTGGGAGGATCGCTTGAGCCCTGGAGGTGGAGGTTGCAGTGAGCCAAGATTGTGCCACTGCACTCCAGCCTGGGTGACGGAATGAGACCCATTCTCAAAAAAAAAAAAAAAAAAAAAAAAAAAAAAAAATATATATATATATATATATATATATATATATATATATATATATAAACTTGAATCTGATCAAACCTCTACAGGAAATGCAGAAACATATTAAATAACTCTTCAGGTATACAATCTCTAAAATCCAGAATATGAGACATTCTACACAACAAATAACTGACTTCATTGTTAAATAAATGACAAAAAAAAAAAGAAGGAACTGTTACAGATTAAAAAGAGATCTAAATCAATTAAATGCAACAGGTAGACTTAGCTTGGCTCATGATTAGAATAAAATAATGACAAAAAAGGCATGAGATAATTGGGGAAATGTGAACATCGATTAAGTATTTGATGATATGGAGAAGTTGTTGCATATTTTATTTTATTTATATAGAGAGATTGGGTCTCACTATATTCGCCAGACTGATCTCAAACTCCTGGCCACAAGTGACCCTCCTTCCTTGGTCTCCCAAAGTGCTGGGATTACAGGCATGAGCCACTGCACCCGGCCGTGGCATATTTTGTGCAATGGTGAACATCTATAGTCCCAGCTACTACAGAGGCTGAGGTGGGAGGATCTCTTCACCGCAGGAGTTTAAGGCTGCAGTGCGCTATGATTGAAAGCTGGGTACCTTTGAAGATAATGAAATTCAACAGGTTAAGCCATCTAACAATAGACTTTACTGTAACTGTAGAAGCACTGAGAAAATCCAAGGCAGAACTCATGGAAATCAGTGAAGATAAAACTAAATTCAGAAGGTCTCCATGCAAGCCCCTCCCTGAAGTAACTGATGAGTCTAAAACTGATGTAAAAACAGATGTGTTTATATCAACGGCTTCCCAACTGATACAACTTTTGATGACATAAAAGAATGGCTAAAAGAAAAAGGTCAAGTACAATATTCAGATGAGAGGAACATTGCATAAAGCATTTAAGGGATCAGTTTTTGCTATGTTTGGTAGCATTGAATCTGCCAAGAAATTTGTAGAGACCCCTGGCCAGAAATACAAAAACACAGACCTGCTAATACTTTTCAAGGAAGATTACTTTGCCAAAAAAAAAAAAAATGAAGAAAGAGAACAAAATGAAGTGGAAGCTAAATTAAGAGCTAACCAAGAGTGAGAAGAAAAACAAAAGTTAGAAGATGCTGAATGAAATATCTAGAAGAAAAGATTGGGTGCTTGCTGAAATTTTCAGGTGACTTAGATGATCAAACCTGTAGAGAAGATTTACACATTCTTTTCTGAAATCACGGTGAAAGAAAATGAATAGACCTTGTCAGAGGAGCAGAACAGGGGATGGAATAATTCTAATTAACGTAAATGTCAAGGAAGTATTGGGTAAAGCCAAAGACGCAAGTAACGGTAACCTACAATTAAGAACAAAGAAGTGAATTGGGAAGTACTAGAAGGAGAGGTGGAAAAAGAAGCATTGAAAAAAATCTTAGAAGACCAACACGAGAATCCCTAAACAAATAGGAGTCAAAAGGTTGCAGATTTAAAGGAAGAGGAAAGGGTAATTAAGCTGTCTGGCCTGGGTGTGCTAAAGGAAAAGTATGTTTCAAGGTTAAAAAAAAACCAAATCTGCTAATGATGGTGAACAGGATGAAAATGGTGCTAGTAGACTAGTGAAATGAGCAAGAGAAGAAACAGACAGAAGAACCTGCATCAAAACAACAGAAAATGGTGTCAGTAGCTTAGTAAACCAGTAGTTTGGTAAACACATTTTTTATTCATTTTATTAGGTTTTAAGCTGCTTTTGTTTTGGGGCACTTTTAAAATGAAAAAAAAAATTAGGTCCACTTCAATGTTCATATGTGAGAAAGGAGAAGTTTTTTTGTTGTTTAACTTGTCTTTTTTTGTTATCCAAATGAGGATTTTTTAAAAATGCATAGTTCTGTGTGTGTTGTTTCAGATTATTCAAGTATCGAAAGGAAGAGTCTTCCCTTAAATTGCCTTTGTAATATGATAATATGTTAGTAAAAGCTAATAAAATATATTCTTTATTAAAAAACAAAAACAAAATAATCTACAGGGTTTGGTAAGTGATAAATGAAACAGAACAAGAGCAATAAGGAATGTATGATTGCTGAAGCTGGATAATGGTATGTTGACTCATTAAACTATTCTCTCGCATTCATATATATTTGTCTAATTTCCAAAATAAAAATAGGCAAAACAAAGTCCTTCATCACCTACAAATTATTTCCCGAAAGTAACTTCCACTAACAGTTTTTTATATTGTTTTCCAGACATCTTCCATGTATATGGAGGCAAGTTCATGTCTATCTATATATGTATATGCAAGTGCATATAATTTTTAAAGCAATGGAAATCATACTGTATAAGACAAAATGAAATGAAATAAATTAAATCCCCCAGGTATTTGTCTACATAATGGCAAACATCTGAATATTTACATAAATATATGTATGTGTAATGGTTTTGGAGCGGGGGAGATTCAACATCTATAAATCTAGCCTGTCAGATTTGACTGTTTTTTAATGTGATATTCAAAGTATAATAGTTATTTTTACGTTAATAAAAATCCTTCTCATAAATCCATACACTTTTTTGAATTAAATAATACATATTTTGGAGTCATGAATAGACAGGTCTTGCATACACTTTCCCTCTTCACCAAATGATTGTTTAATAGAGATTGTGTATAAGAGTCTTATGAAACATTTGCTTAAGGAAGCAAAATTTAAATTTACTAAAAGATCCTCAAAGTCCATATTTTTGACATATTCTGTAAACCCCTATAATCTAATATGTAGCTTTATACCTAGAAATCATTTGATAAATATGTCATTGCATATGATGTGCTGTTGATGTTGAAGTTGATGATGATAGAATGTAGGCCTAAGTAATTTCTGTAATAACCAGAATAATTTCTGTAATAATTCTGCAAAAATCAACTTGATAGCAAATTGTCCAATTGGAAGTAATGTTCAAAATAAGACATTCTAAGCAAACTTCTTTTCTCATCAAGACCAAGCAAGAGCATTTATCTCTTAAAATATCCCAGGCCAAAACTGTCAGATGTCTGTGCTGCCTTGAGCAGTATCAACCCTCTACTCTAGGAAAGTCTTGCAGCTTACAATTCAGTGCTCTTTTCTACCAAAAGCACAAGTCATTCTCCCAGATTTTTATAGTTAAATATCAACTTTGCTACCAGTATATTTCACATATAAAGCAAACTGATCATTTTTTTAGCCTACATAGGAGAGTATCTGCTTGAGAATTCAGTCTTGAACTGATGTCTCTCTGAATTCTGTCAAAAATATAGGTGAGAAAAAAGTATATTTGATAGTATGTATAAGAGATGTAAAAATCCGTTTTTCTGTATTTTCTATGTTCTATTTCAGTTATCTTTTAGTATTACTGTAGTTCTTTGGAATGGTATGTATCTGTAATGTGGTTAGTATTTTACTTTAAATACTTTAGCCTAAGAAATGGATCTATAAAGACGCATAATTTAGTTTTAGGTTATACATACCTCAGGGCTGGTTGGTTGGTATTTAACCAAAAGCCAATAATCCAGAAGAGGCTACCAAAAGCACTTTGGTTATCTTTAACTTCAATTAACACCAGAGGGTTTTTTAGTTACCACTACTGACATGATAAATTATTTTTTCCCACTGGATAAATAAGTGGTGTTAGAGATGTGGAGAAAAACATTTTTATTTTTACATGAAAGCTTATACCTTCCCAAATGGAAAAGAAGGCTTAATTCTGAATCAGTCCTGTGTTCAATCACTGACTTAAATAATTTTTGTCTAAACCGACTATAATGTTAGCATCTCATATTGGAACATTGTCACATTTCCTCAAGTGAACCTCTTAGACAGGGTAGAAACTTGGAAGGACCAAGAGCTGGAACATCACAGGGTTTATAAAACATTTTATGACTGTTTCTTTGCCTGCTAGCACATAAAATGTTTAAATATATCATAAAATTCAGTTTGACCCTTGTTTTCATGCCTGGTAGTAGAGTTATGGGTATAGCTCGATATCCCCTAATGAGCTTAATTAGGTATTAGAGGCTACTCATGTTTAAGAAAAAGAGCATAATAATTGAGGATGCCTAAATAGGCTCAGGCCATTTTGCTGAAGTTCCTTGAAGAACCACTTTGGAAGGCTGGGAGCTGTGGTTCACGCCTCTAATCCCAGCACTTTGGGAGGCTGAGGTGGGCAGATCACCTGAGGTCGGGATTTCGAGACCAGCCTGACCAACATGGAGAAACCCCGCCTCTACTAAAAAAAAAAAATACAAAAATTAGCCAAGCATGGTGGCGCATGCCTGTAATCCCAGCTACTCGGGAGGCTGAGGCAGGAGAATTGCTTGAACCCGGGAGGCGGAGGTTGCGCCATTGCACTCCAGCCTGGGCAACAAGAGTAAAACTCCATCTAAAAAAAAAAAACAAAAAAAACCACTTTGGCCTGTGCTGAAATCTGGCCGCCAAAAAAGAACAACCTCAAAAAGTCAAACGACTTAAGGGTCAGATGGGTAAAATCTGTGCGTAGGGTGTAAAATAATAGAGAATGTGAGTTAGCCATTAAAGAGGAGACGATAAGGAGATGAGAGAGCCTGCCAAACAGAGCATTTGCCTAAGTGTATGTCGTCACTAGGGTGGAGAAGTAGGCTGGAACCAGATCATGCTGGGTCTTGTATGCAGCACTCAGGATTTTGGATTTTGTCTTCACAGCAATGAGATATGATCATATTTGCATTTTAAAAGGACCACTCTTGTGGTGGTGTGGAGACTATGCTAGGATCTGAAGACACTGATTGGACACTGCTAAAGTAATCCAGATGAGAGCTGCTGTTATTTTGGATTGGATTTGTTACACTGATGATAGGAGCAGGAGAATTTGAGTGTTATGTGGGAGGTGGAGTCTATTCTACTGTGAATTTAGAGTCTGAGGAAATCTTGTCTTTCCTGAGGAACTAGCATGCTTAATTTTATCAGGCCATGATGAGAATGACATAGCCCATCGTGTTTTGGCTGCCAAGAAGTTGAGCTAATTTGAGAGCTCAATCCTAACAATTCTTAGTTTGTATTTCTCTCATTTTCACCCTCTGTCTGTTTGACTTTAGATCTTTTATGTTATTTTGATGGTTCTGTAATCTGTTTAGTAACATGTGTATCCACTTAGTGTGCCTCCTCAAATTTTATAAGTGACAAATCAATACAATGTATACCCCATAAATATATATATCATTAGTATGTATCAACAAAAAATTATATTAAAAATTTAAATAACAACAGGCAGGTTTTTTTTTTTTAAACAGTCCGTACTTAGAATAGTTCCACTAAGAATTGGACTTCTGCAATGGAGTCTAAAGAAACTCTTCCCTGTTCCTCCATAGTCAGCTAAATTCTTCCCTTTGGCAGGAGACATCTTTGTGCTTGGTGGAGAGCAACAGCCCCTGTAGTATGAACTCGGGCTGGTGAACTCCAGGAGTGAATAGCTGACCTCCCACTGCTGCAATCAGCTGTAATCTGAGATCCTGCTCCAACATTCGGACACCTTTAGAAAGGAGACTGAGGAGCTAGGTTCTTTTCTCAACTGAAAGAAAGAGATTCTAGAGAATCATTGCAGCCTTTTTAGTAACCTGCTGGAAATCTGGCTGGTGCATGATTACTCAGGGAGAAATAAATATTTCCCAATAACTGCTAACTCTGTGGATTCCCTCCACAGCCTAACACCCACTCACAATTCAGAGCCTTGGGCAGATTATACCTTAATCCTTGACTTATTTTCTCTTCAAAGAGAAAAAACATTTTATTTTTAAAAGAAAGTACAATAACATGTTAAGAAATTTATTCAACCACTTCAATAATCATTGCTCAATTAAATTCTGTACTTTCTTAAATATTCTCCTATTCCCTCCACCCCCACCCCATCCCCCAAATACTCTTGGGTCTTCAAAATAAATTCTAAAAATCTGGCTCACCTCTGAAAGACATGTATAAATATGTTTTCCATTTCGATCTGGCAGGACTCATGCTCTTATTGTCCTACTTTTCTTGCACATGCCTTTTCTGGCTGGCCCTGTTTGGCTTTTTGTGCATTATTTTGCCTTACCCTGGGCATTGTTCATCTCCGTGCCCTGCATTCTACCTTCAAGCTCTATTTTACTGACTTTCTTCTGTTACTGGGAAACTTCCCAGTTTCCTTCCAGGCCATTCAGTTTCCTTGGCATTACTTGCTCATTGATCATTTCTAACCACTTTTCCACTTCTGCTGCTTGGCCCAAAGTGAAATGTGAGACTACTGAAAGATTTTGAGGAAATTACTCTGATGCTGCTGAGCAGGAGTCTTTTCAGCTGTTTTTATCTTCATTTCCTCAAAGTCACAGGTGTCTCTCATTCATATTGAGATCCTACTGCATTTTGTAATTTGACCTGAATTACTGCTTTGGACAAAAGCAAGGACGCATATTGCATCATGAATTTTGTCATATTCTCCAATATTTACACCAAAATAGTCCCTTCAGATGAACTTTAAATGTTTTACATTTACTGCCAAAATTATAAAGCAAACCCAGAAAAGTTAATCCTTTGGGAACCTCTGCTCTAAGGCTATGAATCCTGGCTTTCTGAACCAGGTTTGGATGTGTTAATCTCTTTGCTTTAGAGTGTCATTTATCTGGTAAGAATGCGTCGTGTAAAATACAATAGTCATTTTAAGCACATAAACAAAAATTAATTTCTAGTTTTTTTCTAGTTTCCTAATCCTCTATTGAGTTTTGCAGTTTTGATTTATTTGGAAATTCCATTTGTTTGGAAACTAGAGTGATATGACAAAGCCTTGGAAGTGAGCATTACTTGACAATCAGCCTTTTAAATTGTATGACATGATTCTCAAATGATATTCCTTATGTTATTCAATTACCCTCTGCTTTTTTCAAGTTTATACATATATTTCACTCTGTCTTTCTTCATTCCATCTGCTAACACCTCCAGTCTAACACTTTGGCTAGAACTATGCTTTCTTCCTTAACCTAACCATGTTGACAACAATTAACTTGTTAAAGAGCACATCTCTCAAACAAATGGCACACCAACATCTTTCGTTTGTTCTTAAATTACAATTTGTATCTAACAGATTATATCTTTTAATTAAATAGATTATCTCCATGTATCAGCTTTCTATTAGAGTTTAATGTCTATTTATTACTCCCCTATTTGAGGTTCTTGTTATATTTGAAAATAGTAAGTTTTGATTTCTTTAAAATATTCTACAACTTTGTTCCCTTATGAATTTAAAATGGACTTTTTCTAGTCAATGCCCCATCATTGTAAGTTTTTTCTATGCTTGTTCCAAATATATATAATGTTCAAAGACAAGGAGAGACTACATTATGCTCTGGTAACACATGACTCCAAAATTGTAATGGCTTAAAGCAATAAAAGTTTATGTTCATCTTGGGTCAGCTATACCTCTCCTCCTCATAGGATTCATTCCTGAGCCAAAGCTGAGGAAGAAACCTCTATCTGAAACATTTCTGGCCTTTCAGTAGAGGGAAATGAAAGAAAGTGTAGCTCAACACACACTCACTCTTAAAGTTTCTGCCCAGAAGTGGCACCCATGACTTCTGCTCACATTTCATTGGTCATGCCTGAGTTCAATAAGCTGGGGTCAGGGGAAGGTGAAAAGCAGACTATAGTATCCCAATGAAAGAAAATATTGAATCAATTAGAAACAGAACATAAATACATTACTACTAGGTTGTAAAATCAAAGGAAAATAGAATGATATAAAGCAATAATTCAGTTTTATCATGTAAAGACTTATATTTGGTTTAAGTGAGTAGTAACAGGCCTCATAATGCAATTAAATTATTTATTTAAATATACCTTTGTAGGTATGTTTTTCTTTTATTTCTGTTACTTATCTGGATTTTTCTTACTTTGCCTAATGCAACTGTTAGGCAGTGTGAGTCACTGTTGAAAGACAGCATATTCCTTGGTGATATCTTTATATAATATGTATAATTAGCATTACATTTTTATAAATTTTAGACTGTAGTTTATAAATTGTCATATATAAGCCACAGTATTTCTTTAGTCATTAAAATAACACAACTATTTATTCTCTAAACACATATTTTAATGAAATACTCTAATTAAAAACAGAGGAACTAACTTTTTCTCTCATTGCCCTTTTTTTTTTTGAGAAGGAGTCTTACTCTGTCACCCAGGCTGGAGTGCAGTGATATTTGCTTCTATTAAATGTAGTAACAAATAGGCAAAAAATAAATACATACACAAATAAATACATCCAAAAAAGGTAGACTATAGTATCCCAATTAAATTACTTTTTAAAAGTACATTAATGCCTGCTGAGCTATAGCTTCTGCTTATCAGGCATTTACCAGGCTTATTTATTCAATAATATTTATTAACTGCCCAGCCTGTATTTATAGTGAGCAAGGCATTGAGGATATTATAGTGCATAAGACAATGTACCCTGTCTCTCCCTGTCCTCAAGGAGTTTAAATTCTAGTTAAGGAAATATAAAATATGCTATTAAATAAATATTTACAATAATTATAGATTGTGATAAGTGATAAAAAGAAAAAAATGGATGTTGTGTTTCAGGAACTAATTGAGATGGACTGAGTATAGTCCAAAATATATTTCGGAAATAAAATATATGTCTTATTGATGGAGTGCATATACAAGATGAGGAATCGGGAGAAACTGAGGATCACTCAACGTCTAGTAGACCAGCTGGGTAGATGATAGTATCCTTCTGAGATGGGAAAGAAAAGAAGAAAATAGGATTTGGAGGTAAAAGGAAGCAGAGGACTCCTATTTTTTACATGTTAAGCTTGAGAAGCTTATTGGATATAGAAGTACAAACATGAAATAGAGAGTAATTGTAATATATAATTAGATACATTATATATTTCGTACGATGTAACTTTCATAATGTTATCTGATATGTGTGTATATGTGTGTATATATATATATATACATATATATATATATATACACACACACACATAGATTCAAACCATTCCCATATTTTTGAATACCATTTATATGTATACACACACATGTGCACACACACAATTGAAGCCACTAAGGGCCCAGAACAGAGCTCTAAGAAAGTAGGATGTTTAGAGTTCCAACAGAGGAGTTGGAGCCAGCAAAGGTAGAGAAGGAATGGAAAACTTTTCTGTAGAGTCAAATATTCTGGGCTTGGCAAGCCACAGGGACTCTTTCTCACAACTACCCACCTCTGCAGTTATGGTACAAAAGCAGCCATAGACAATACATAAATGAATAAATGTGACTGTGTTCCAGTGAAGCTTTATTTATGGATACAATTTGAATTTTATGTAATTCCTATGCTTTAGGAAATCTTATTCTTTTTATTAATTTTCAATCATTTAAAAATGTAAAAACCATTCTTAGCTCACAGGCACTACAAAAGCAAGTCGTGGGCCACATTTGCCCATGGGCTGTGGTTTGCTGATCTCTGAGGTATTAGTTATCCATAACTGTGTAACAAATTAACCTAAGATTTAGCAGCTTAAAACAACTCTTTATTTTCTCATGGTTTCTGTGGACCCTGCATCCAGGCTCGGTTTAACTGGGTTCTCTGGCCCAAGCTCCCTTGCAGGCTCCCGTAGAGGTGTTGGCTGGGGCTACAATCATCTCAAGGCTCAACTGGGGAGGACCTGCTCCCAAGCCCACCAGCTGGTGCTTGGTAGGATCTACTTCCTGGCTGGCTGTTGACTGGAGACCTCCTTCCATTTTTGGCCATGTGGTCTCTTCCAGAGGGAAGCACACAACATGGCACCTGGTTTCTATAAAAGTAAAAAAAAAAAAAGAGATCAAGAAAGAGTGAGCAAGATGGAAGCCAGACTCTTTGTAATCTAATCCCAGAAGTATCATTCCATCACTTTTGCCATATCTTGTTCATTTGGAAGGAAGTCCCTGGATCCAGCCCACACACAAGGTGAGGGGATTACACAAGGGCACTTGGAAGGTGAGGACCATTGGGAGCCATCTTAGAAGCTAACTTCCATACATGGAGAGTGTGATGTCACACTCAGAGGCAGAGAGAGGAGAGTGACTCTAGAAGGCAGAAGTGGGCAATTGTATTAAATGTTGCTGAAAGGTTTATAAAGGTAAGAATGGAAAAGTTTTAATAGGTAGAAGGGGTTGAAATGAAGAATGAAATGCAGGACAGTTAAATGGAAACTGCGTAAAGGCCACCTTCAAAAATTTTTGCTACAAAACAGAGGCTGGAAATGAGACCGTTGCTAGAAAAGAATGTGAAGTTAGGATGAATATTTTTTAAAAGAAAGAAGTTTAGGAATAAGTTTTGAAAAAGATTCGTGATGCAAGGGAGAAGAATGAAAACTGAAGGGCTGTCTTTCAGAAATGGAGAAGTGATAGGATCTACATTCCTTGTGTAAGGATGGGTCTCTGATGGGAGGAAGGACACATCCTCCAATGTAACCACATAGAACACTGGAAGAGATATCAGTGCAAGCAGTTTATGAATTTGGTGGTGAAAAGATAAAGGAGTTTCTGGAAAGCTTAGATAGATTCAGATACATGCGAAATCAGCAAATTGGTAGGGAGGTCTGAGGATGGAGGTATAGTTATGAAATCAAACGCTATTTTTTGGAAAGTAGGAAAGTAAACTTACTGGGAATACATTTAAAATTGCCTGGCGTGATTGAGTTTTGTGTTAGTTGTTAATGTAAATCAGTCATCCTAATGACTTGATTTTCTATAGTAACTTCCAGCTGCTCACGTTTGTGCATGGAGAAAATGGATGGTTTGAGTTTTCCTGACATGTGCAATGGAGTGAGGGAGGGTAAAGGCACTGACTGTATTCAAAAAAGGAGTAAATAGGTCAGAGTATCAAGGCTGGTTCACAGAGAAGTGAAATCAGGCCAGTGTAATAGAGAGTGGTGAAATCATAGGAAGTAAATAACTTCTTTATAGAAAAATGAGATACAATTAAGAAGCTGACCATTTTAAAATGTTTCCCACAAAAAACATATCATCAATAACAGGATATTTTATATGTAAAATCCATGTTTAACTTTGAATTTGTTTGATTTGATAGTTCCAAATTACTCAGAAAAAAAGGGGTGTTCTCCTTTTAGAAATATTATACTAAAATAAAGGAATGATTCACAGTGAGGAAAGAATCATGAAGTTGAAAAAAGAAATTTATAATATTTAAAAGGAAAGGAAAGTTTGATGAGGAAGGGTAAGAGCAGGTTGATGCTGAGAGCTAACTGGGGCAATTTGTGTTTCCCTCTGATTTCCTAGCCCTGTAATGTTAAAGCCTGGCTGTGTGTTAGGACCACCTATGTAGAGTTTGCTAAAAATGCGATACCAGGCATCACTCAACACTTTCTGAATCAGAATCAGAATTAGAATCGGTCTCTTCTGTAATCACCCCAGATGTTGCTGATGGACAGTTGTGCTGTGAGTAGCCCTTAACTGGCCTGGAACCTCTGCTTTCTGCCTCTTGGAACAAGTTGCCATATAGGAAGTGTGTCTACCCACAGATCACCATGTTAAGAGACGCCCAGGCCACATGAAGAGGCTCTGGAGAATGAGCCTCTTAGAGAAGGGAAAGCAGGCCGAGTATCAGAGTGAAACAGACACATCAAGGCAATGGATATGTGAATGAGCCATCTTCAATGTCCAATCCTGTTGAACCTTCAGCTGGCTACAGCCCCAGACACCATTCTGATGTTCACAGCATAAGACCCCAAGAGAACTATTCTGCTGAGCCTAGTCAATACACAGAAGCATGAAGGATAATAATGAATTGTGTTTTAAGGCACCAAATTTTGCAGTAGTTTGTTGCACAGCAATAGATGACCCAAACATCAATCCCTACTGCCCCCTCAGGGACTTATCATCAATAATCTCTTTTTAAAATATACAAATAGAAATAACTGACATTTACTGAGGCTTACTATGTACCATACACTGTTCTATACACTTTTTATGAAATCCTGTCAATAGTCCTATTGAGATAGGCGCTATTTTTATCTCCATCTACAAAAGGAGAAATTTATTCAAAGTAACACAAATAAAAAGTGGTGTGGAGCAAGACAGTGAGATCCCAGAGCCTGCACACTTAACCACCACATGTACCTTAATCTGTCACTCTTTATGGGGTCTTCTCTATCTGCATTTAAACACATTTGAGTTTCTCCTTCTTGACCCTATAGATCTCCTCTAGCAATCACTCCATTTCTCTCTCTTTGCATCTTTAAGGTTAACTGTCTAGAAAGGGTTGTCTACTTTCTGTCTCTTCTTTCTCCCGTTCATCCCTCAAGCTATTGCCCTGACTTCTTCCTCTTCCACCCTATAGACACCAGTTCTTGTCTAAGTCATCTGTGATTTCTCTTGCTAAATCTAAGGGATCACTCTTTGTCCTTGTCTTCTTAATTTCTCTTACACTGGTGATACTGATAACCATTTCCTTCTCTTGAAACTGTTCCCTTCTATAACTTTTGTGACCCCAGTCTCTCCTAATTTTCCTCCTACTTTTCTAACATTACATCTCGTTTTCTCTTAGCGCCGTCTCTTCCTCTGCCCATCTCTTAGATATTAGTGTTCCTTAGGAACTCCCTTTCTAATTATTATGTACACTTACATCTATCCCTATGGCTTCACCCACTATCTTCATGATAAGAATTCTCAAATATCTATAGTCAAGATTTCTGTCTGAACCTGGATTCTTAACCTGAGGTCCACAGAACCATTGGAATTTTGTGTACCACTCGGAGGGGTCCATGAACTTGGACAGGAAAAATACACATCTTTCTTTTCACTAAACTTTAATTGAGACAAGCACTTTCTTTCATAAAACATATAGGCAACAAACGACAGTGGAATTATCAGTGCTCGTATCAATAGAAACCACAGACGTTTTAAATTTTTTTAATTTTTATTTTTAGTTCTGGGATACATGTGAAGGATGTGCTGGTTTGTTACACAGGTAAACGTGTGCCAGGGTGGTTTGCTGCACCTATTAACCCATCACCTAGGTATTAAGCTCAGCATGCATTAGCTATTTTTCCTAATGTTCTCCCTCCACCACCCCACCCCCCAGTAGGTGCCAGTGTGTGATGTTCCCCTCCCTCTGTCCATGTGTTCTCATTGCTCAGCTCTCACTTATAAGTGAGAACATACGGTGTTTGGTTTTCTGTTCCTGTGTTAGTTTGCTGAGGCTAATGGTTTCCACCTTCATCCATGTCCCTGCAAAGGACATGATCTCATTCCTTTTTATGGCTGCATAGTATTCCATGGTGTATATGTACCACATTTCCTTTAACCAGTCTATCATTGTTGGACATTTGGGTTGGTTCCAAGTCTTTGCTATTGTGAATAGTGCCGCAATAAACATACGTGTGCATGTGTCTTTATAGTAGCATGATTTATAATCCTTTGGGTATATACCCAGTAATGGGATGGCTGGGTCAAATGGTATTTCTAGTTCTAGATCCCTGAGGAATCACCACACTGACTTCCACAATGGTTGAACTAGTTTACAGTCCCACCAACAGTGTAAAAGTGTTCCTATTTCTCCACATCCTTTCCAGCACCTGTTGTTTCCTGACTTTTTAATGATCGCGATTCTAACTGGTGTGAGATGGTATCTCATTGTGGTTTTGATTTGCATTTCTCTGATGGCCGGTAATGATGAGCATTTTTTCATGTGTTTTTTGGCTGCATAAATGTCTTCTTTTGAGAAGTGTCTGTTCATATCGTTTGTCCACTTTTTGATGGGGTTGTTTGTTTTTTTCTTGTAAATTTGTTTGAGTTCATTGTAGATTCTAGATATTAGCCCTTTGTCAGATGAGTAGGTTGCAAAAATTTTCTCCCATTCTGTAGGTTGCCTGTTCACTCTGATGGTAGTTTCTTTTGCTGTGCAGAAGAAGCTCTTTAGTTGAATTAGATCCCATTTGTCAATTTTGGTTTTTGTTGCCATTGCTTTTGGTGTTTTAGACATGAAGTCCTTGCCCATGCCTATGTCCTGAATGGTATTGCCTAGGTTTTCTTCTAGGGTTTTTATGGTTTTAGGTCTAACATTTAAGTCTTTAATCCATCTTGAATTAATTTTTGTATAAGGTGTAAGGAAGGGATCCAGTTTCAGCTTTCTACATATGGCTAGCCAGTTTTCCCAGCACCATTTATTAAATAGGGAATCCTTTCCCCATTGCTTGTTTTTCTCAGGTTTGTCAAAGATCAGATAGTTGTAGATATGCAGCATTATTTCTGAGGGCTCTGTTCTGTTCCATTGGTCTACATCTCTGTTTTGGTACCAGTACCATGCTGTTTTGGTTACTCTAGCCTTGTAGTATAGTTTGAAGTCAGGTAGCATGATGCCTCCAGTTTTGTTCTTTTGGCTTAGGATTGACTTGGCAGTGTGGGCTCTTTTATGGTTCCATAAGAAGTTTAAAGTAGTTTTTTCCAATTCTGTGAAGGAAGTCATTGGTAGCTTGATGGGGATGGCATTGAATCTATAAATTACCTTGGGAAGTATGGCCATTTTCACGATATTGATTCTTCCTACCCATGAGCATGGAATGTTCTTCCATTTGTTTGTATCCTCTTTTATTTCATTGAGCAGTGGTTTGTAGTTCTCCTTGAAGAGATCTGTCGCATCCCTTGTAAGTTGGATTCCTAGGTATTTTATTCTCTTTGAAGCAATTGTGAATGGGAGTTCACTCATGATTTGGCTCTCTGTTTGTCTGTTATTGGTGTATAAGAATGCTTGTGATTTTTGCAAGTTGATTTTGTATCCTGAGACTTTGCTGAGGTTGCTTATCAGCTTAAGGAGATTTTGGGCTGAGACAATGGGGTTTTCTAGATAGACAATCATGTCATCTGCAAACAGGGACAATTTGACTTCCTCTTTTCCTAATTGAATGCCCTTTATTTCCTTCTCCTGCCTGATTGCCCTGGCCAGAACTTCCAACACTATGTTGAATAGGAGTGGTGAGAGAGGACATCCCTGTCTTGTGCCAGTTTTCAAAGGGAATGCTTCCAGTTTTTGCCCATTCAGTATGATATTGGCTGTGGGTTTGTCATAGATAGCTCTTATTATTTTGAGATATGTCCCATCAATACCTAATTTATTGAGAGTTTTTAGCATGAAGAGTTGTTGAATTTTGTCAAAGGCCTTTTCTGCATCTATTGAGATAATCATGTGGTTTTTGTCTTTGGCTCTGTTTATATGCTGGATTACATTTATTGATTTGTGTATGTTGATCAGCCTTGCATCCCAGGGATGAAGCCCACTTGATCATGGTGGATAAGCTTTTTGATGTGTTGCTGGATTTGGTTTGCCAGTATTTTATTGAAGATTTTTGCATCAATGTTCATCAAGGATATTGGTCTAAAATCCTCTTTTTTTGTTGTGTCTCTGCCGTTTTTCAGTATTTTTTTTTAATTCAGTCATTCTCTCTTCAAACATTGCTTCTTCCCATTTTCTCTATTATTTCTTTCTGGCACTCCAATTAAATGGAGATTAGATCTTTACACTTTATATTCTATCCTTTCTGGGTTTTGTTTGTCTTTCTCTTTCGCCCTGTGTTCTGTCTTATCTCTCCATCATAAGTCTGGATATTTTATCCTGAACTCTTTTCCAGTTCACTAATTCTCTCTTCATCTGTATCTAATATGCTATTTAATCTATCTACTAATTTCTTAATTTTGATTATTATATTTTATATTATATTATATTTCTTACTTTTAAAATTTCTATTTGGATAAAGGTCTTCTGGAGGGATCAAATGTTCTGTAACATTTTTTATTGTTTCTAGCTTTCAACTGAAATTTTTGAATATTATTTTTATCTCCTTGTACTTGGCAAGCAAGTTATTTTGAAACAATCTTATTGGCCGGGCATGGTGGCTCATGCCTGTAATTCCAGCACTTTGGGAGGCTAAGGTGGGTGGGTAATGAGGTCAGGAGTTCGAGACCAGCCTGGCCAACATGGTGAAACCCCATCTCTACTAAAAATATAAAAATTAGCCCCGTGTGGTGGCAGGTGCCTGTAATCCCAGCTACTCAGGAGGCTGAAGCAGGAGAATCACTTGAACCTGGGAGGCAGAGGTTGCAGTGGGCCAAGACTGCACCATTGCACTCCAGCCTGGGTGACAGAGCAAGACTTTGTCTCAAAAAATATATATATTATTAATTTAATATCTGGGGCTCCTACAGTACTATTTTTTTTGTTTGTAGTTTCTGATGATTCTCTTTATACAAACTAGTCTACTTACGTGTCAGGTTATCTTGGATTGCATACCACAAATTGTATATAAAAATTTGTTTGTGAAATGATTTGACACCTAGGATAATGTTACTTTCTCTAGTGAGGATTTTCATTTGCTTTTGTAGGCACTTGCAGATGCTAGCAATCCAGAATGACCTTTATTCAATTTCAATAATTGATATTTCTAGATCCTAAATGGGAGTGCTGGATTATTTATGGTTTACCTTTCTTTTTAAAGCAAAGCCCCTTAGAGTCCCAACTCAATGTGTTTATCAGAGACCCCCAGCCTCAACAGGTCCCAGAATCTAGCCCATGTCAAACCCTCCATACTTTTTCTCATACTTGGGTTAGGGTATAGGATTATTTCAGTTGTGTGTAACAGGCAAACCTAACATAGCTCAGGACTGGAATGACAGCTACGTAAAGTTCCCTGAGAGTCAGGGTTCTTACAGCTTACTATTCCTACATCTATAGGATGTCATCCTAATTCTCAAGGTCCCTGCAGCTGTTAGAGGGACCAACGTCACACCTATATTCCAGGCAATTGGATTTGGGGGTGAATGGAAGGGTTGGAGAGAGAGCATTCCTCCTTCTTCTTAAAAAGTCTTTTTGGAGGATCCAAACAATACTTCTACTTACATTTTATTGGCCAGAACATAGTCACATCATCACATCTAGCCACAAGAAAGGCTGGTCAATGTGGTTCTTTACCTGTGCAAAATGTGCCCAGCTAAAATTAATGTTTATTCACTAAGGAGGAAGGGAGAATCAATATTAGGAGTCAACGTAACAGTTTATACCTCAAAGGACCATGGATTAAGAAATAAAGAGAATTATAGTGAGTTTATTGAAAGACTAAATGAAGTTGTCATGCAAAGATTATATTTACTGGGGTGCCTTACCCTAATGCAACCAATAGCATTAGGAGGCATTATGAGGAAAGAAATCAAAGCTTGAGAGCCTGGATTGGAAAAAAAAAAAAAATGAAAAAGAACTATTATAAATTTGTGGGCAAAAAGGAATGGGTGAAGGGTAAATTTCTGGACATTTGGATACAGTTTAGAAAACTTATAAATTAAATGCCAAGCTCATATTTTTCAGATGGAATATTTTTGTGCTACACTATTAGTTGTGCAGGAATTAAAATAAAAACACCTCCAAAAGTGTGCCTGTTGCTTTCATGATAAATACTTTCAGAAAAAAAGTCCTCCAGCACTTGTATCTACCTCTTAATTAAACACATAACAATATGTTTCTTACTCCTGAATTGTTTTTTTCCCGGATACATCCAAAACAGCACTTTGGCTAGCTGAGTTTGTGAAGAATTATGCAAAGCACCTCCAGAGGATTTTATAGTGATGTCAGAGGGTAATACAAGATGTTTTGCAATGCAGTTTAGCATGGGTATTTCCAAATAATTACTTGGTTTGGGAACCATCCATTCACTTAAAATATTTTCCTATAATTCCTGTATTTGCTGAACTCTCCCCCAAGCCTCAAATTATAATACATACATAGGCTATTAATTTTCTAGTGACTCTTATATATCACTACAACAATACTCGATCCAGTGATCCAGTATTGATCACTGGATCTAAATTCTAAGTGCCAAGTCATGTTTTAAAATGCAAATCTACATTGTACAATACCCCTTGACTTCTTTTTCCTTCAGGGCATTCTTTCCTCTAGCCTGGGCTTTCAAATATAGCTTAGTAATAATCAGACTTTGATGATAGAAACCAAAGTTAAGAAAATGCATTTAATTTAATGACAAAAAATCCTTGGAGGGAAAAAATGTGCTTTATTCTTAGTTCATTTAAAAGCTAATGAAAGTTTTGCCTTAAGAAGGGAAGAGAGAGATCAAACTTTCTTTTGCCTGCTTGCCAGATGATGCTAACAAGTCATTGTCCTTTCTCATTCAGGCATAAGTGCCTGAAAACTCCTTTTTCTTCTGCTTACCATTGCCTTAACCAATAATACTGTTCTCAGACAGAAAGATACCTGAATGTCTAAACATTTATCTATACTAATACAGGCTCATTTCATGTGAATGCCTGCTAAGCAGGAACTAGGCTGTCAGCTTCATCCCATCAAAAAGACTTTCAGTCCCAAGGACCGATGGCAGGTTCCAATTGTTAAGTCATTCTTGCTTGAACTGAATTTTAAAGTCAGGCTCCTACTGTTAAAGAACGGAGCTCAAAGAGGGCATTTAGCCAGAAATGTTGCAATTCTAAATATAACACTTTTGGATGTGGATTTTTTTTCTTGCTGTCATAGATTTTTCAAAATGTGGATACTGAGTAAAACTCCAGGGCAGCAAATAATGCGTAAGGGCAACCAATACTGCATAATAGTTCTTGTTTTGGTACATTCACTTTGTAGTGATTTATTAAGGGAGACTGAAAAAGCCTGATTAAAATGCATAAACAGTGCTGAACAGTAAACAACCATGTCTAAGGATGAAAAAATGGGACCCACATGCTGTGCATGGAAATTGCCCTTAACAACATGGCCTATTGTTGAACAGATAGGAAGCCAAAGGTTGCTTGTAATCAAATTTGAAGTTTCCCATCACTTATAAAAGCAACACTTCCTTGTGCAAACGTTTCAATTTGTTGTAGTTAAAAACTGCTTCCTGGCTTAATCCTTACCAGGAGTTCTTAATCCTAACTAGGCGTTCTTGTGACTGTCAGGTGGATAGAAAAATTTAGACGGGGAGCCCACTAGACTTTATGAAATGGAACCAAGTTTGTATGTAAAAATCTAAAGAATTTACAGGAGCAAATTAAATTAAAGCAGCAAGAGACCTCAAGATGATTATTTCTTTTGTATTTAAACGGGGAAATTTTTTGATGGGCTGGCTAGGTGCTCAAATCTCTTTTCTCACTCAAAAATAAAGCAGATGTTAAAGGGGGAGGAAAAAAGCAAACATAGGCTTGCTACAGCCTGAATCAAGCCTATGGACAAATACTCAAAGAGAAAATTTAGTAATAATATGACAACATTTTTCTGATGGGCTGAATTACCTGGATACAAATACGGAGATTATTATGTAATGATAATTATTTAAATATATGTTTTGTTGTGAAGACTATTTATTGCTAATTAAAGAGACAGTTAACTGCTAAACTTTAAAGCCATATTGATTCTTCCAATGTATCGATATAATATAAAGAAAAAAACTAAAGAAATTTGAATAATTTCTTTAAAATATTATATTCTGTAATGTCTTAATTACGTGAAGACCATTTTTTAAATGTTTTAGTATTATTTTTCCAAGGAAATATGAAGAATGAATACAAAATCATCATCTTCACAAATGATTAAAAAATGAAATTAAAACATGATTCACAAAACTCTTATTGTTAAACATTCAGATCTTTTTTATTTCCCAATAATAATATTATAATCAACATCCTTAGTTAAGAATCTATGTGTACATTTCTAATTATTTCTCTGGTACAAATTCCCTCACAAATAATTTCTAGATCATTGGGGCATGAACATTTAAGTTATTTTAAAAATGGCCTTCCAGAAGTCTTGCTAATTTTTATCTTCCCAAAAGTACATGGGACTATATCAGAACTAATATTTGATGTTATCACTTATTAATCTGTACAAAATTATTAAGTAAAAATGGCATTTTAAAAAAATAATGGGCATGCTTTTGACACATTTTATAATTTTAATAATGTTTATGATTCTTTCATTGTTCTTCTTTATGTATTGCCTCTTAATAACATCTCTAATCCTTTCATATGGTCAATGGAAAAATTAAATAAGTCACATAAAATGCTGAATACACTGACTAGAAAATCTTCAGTATTAAATAACAGTTAATGAATTTTAGTTATAATTATGGGTATTGATTTGTTTTATCTCTCTGAATTACAGATACAAATGTGGTCAACAAAGAAACTCAGTTTAAATAAAGACAACATTACCATTACTCTGAAGTTATCTTCTTTTTTTTTTTTTGAGACAGAATCTTGCTGTGTCACCCAGGCTAGAGTGCAGTGGCATGATCTCGGCTCACTGCAAGCACTGCCTCCCAGGTTCAAGCGATTCTCGTGCCTCAGCCACCCGAATAGCTGGGATTACAGGCATGTGCCATCAAGCCTAATTTTTTGTGTTTTTAGTAGAGACGGGGGTTTCACCATGTTGGCCAGGCTTGTCTCAAACTCCTGGCCTCAAGCAATTTGCCCGCCTTGGCCTCCCAAAGTCCTGGGATTACAGGCATGAGCCACCGCTCATGACCTGAGGTTATATTTTTAATAGTAACATAAAATTGTCATTTCTAGCAAGAACCCCAAATCAGAAATCTACAGATGCAAGTTCTTGGTGATTAATTTATACATGCTTCCCCCAGTTCCTGTAAGCATCACAATCATGCACTTCCTTTTACTTTGGGAACATAGTGGTAAGTTCGAGTTCTCAATCTATATGGGTACAGGGATATTTGGTATCCCAAGAAGCGTCCTGTGCACTTCTTAGACATGTAGGAGAATGCTGTAGCCTGCAATCCACAGAGCAGCCAGCTACAGGGAGAGAAATGCAGGCTTGGGCCAATGTGACCTCAGTGGCTAGGATCAAAAACAGAAGGGGTATTGAAGTGGCTCTTACTCCACTTCAAAACCAGAAAATAGGATGTTCAATACATTAAAGAGACAGTGGTTAATTTTTATTAAAATCATGAGCACAATTCCTCTTTGGCAATAATTGCCATCATTCTACTTAGCTGACTCCCTGCCTCTAGACTCTTGCCTCACCAATCCATCATTACATTGCTACGGAGTTGTCATCCTCAAACACAGGATGGATTATGCTCTTCACATAATAGAATGATTTTAGGCTCTTCCTACTTATTCACATATTTCCTCATTAAATAAAGTTTTCACAATTTGATCATATTTTAATCATGCTCAGCTTCCCCACAGCTTGCACAATATTTCACAAAAAAGTGCTCAGTAATTGTTTCATGAATTGAATATGCAGTGATCAATTTTAGTTGCTTACTATATAAATATGACAAGTTCCTTGATGAGAAAAAGGTATTCCTCACTGGTTCCAAAGTAAGGTTATCAGATAAAATATAGTCACTCAGTAAAATTTTGAATATGAAATTCAAATTCAAGTGGACATTCTCTTTTGTTTTGTTTTATTTTGATAAATCTGGCAACCCTAGTCCAAAGACATGTCAGTTTCACGACTGCCAGGGTTAACTTCTGGACAACAGTGAATTCATGTAGGCATAAATCTGTTCCCATTCAATTCTGCTATAGCAATGTGTGTATAGCTACTATGAATTCCTTCATGTAAGGGGAATGTAAAGGGAAAAATGAGCAGAAGAACAAAGGCAGTCGTTTCTAACTTGATTCTTATATTCTCACAGGTACATAGTAGATATTTGAGGTACTCTGGAATGATAGCTCCTAATAGATAGTTGATCTGATCAGCAAGATAGCCAAGGTAAACCTTTGAGGTCATTGAAATATTCTGCTTTTAAATCATCAACCAGGACATTTCTTCCCACTTTCCTTGAACTTTTTTATTGCCTTTCTGGCATCCAGCCACAACAAGGTCATTGTGTGGGCACTGGTTGTGCCAACCTTCCATGCTCATCCCTGAGGATCCATGTCTACCCCAAGCTATTTAATAATGTCTCCTAACCTTATTCCCCACCCACACGTACCTCTCAACCCCAGCTCTTTTCTTTTCCAGTTTCCTAGGCAACAGTTTGCTAGTCTAATAATAAACCACAATGCTTGCCAACTTAAAATGAGAGATCAATAGAATCCCCAGGATTCTCCTTTGCTCCTAGATAACGTCTGCTGTTTAACACTAACCTTCTGGGGATAATTCCTGGCTCCTCCTTCGTTGTCTGATCAAAAAGGGTTGGAATTTCCTGTAGGAGTGGGTGATGTGCTTCGTGAGAGAATTGTTTCTTGAAGAGCGAAGCCTTACAGTATTCTTCAATTCAAATTATGTGAGCAGCTATCAGCTGATGAGTTCAGCAGAATCTCTTATTTGTAGAAGTGTAGTATGTTCAGACCTCACCATTCTGACTAAAAAGTAATTTCATATTTATCCAAATGCCACATAAGTTGAGCTCCCAGTTGCCCATAAGGAACATATTGCTCCTCAGAACGGTGCTGTCCGCATCCTCTTTCAGGCCATTAGAGAAGAAAGCCCATAAGATATTCCAGACTGGCCTGTCAAATCTCTGTTCCTTTACTTCTGCAGACAGACTCCCATGAGACCACAGCCTCTCCAGAAAAATACTTCCACAAAACCACAGACACATTTAAAGTAATGTAATTGACTAATTGCAGGAAGTAAGTTTCTGGCCATGCAACATATTGAAAAGATAAATGTCATTAGGATTAAGCCAATGACTTCAGCCACCTTAGCAACTGCAGTTTAGTCAATCACACAAACTATTAGCAGACATGTGATGGAACCTGGAGGGAAACTGTGACACTGAATTAAGGAGAACAGAGACTGCCTGGACTTTCTGTTAGAAGAGGGCACAGCCTTCCATTTGCCAGAATATTGCTCCATACTCAAAAGCTGTGAAGCCCCAGATGTTAGTCGTGCACTCATTAGGACTATGGCTGCTAGTAATTGAAACCAACTGAAGCTAGCTTTATGCATTTATTTATTTATTTATTTATTTATTTATTTATTTATTTATTTATCTATAGAGCATGGGTCTCAACATCTTACCCAAGCTAGTCTTGAACTCCTGGCCTCAAGCGATCCTCTTTCCTTGGCCTCCCAAAGTGCTGGGATTACAAGCATGAGCCACTGTGGCTAGCCAAGCCTAGCTTTAAGAAATGAAAATGAAGAATTTATTACAATGACATAGTGAAGTCTCATGATTCAAGGAAAGAAGAGGGACATGAAAATGGGAATCTCCAGCAAATCTAAGCTCTCCTTCCCTCTGTGTGTTGTTTCATTCTTTTTTTTTTCTCTTTCCCCACGAGCTTTCTCTGCTCCCTCATCTTCATAGAGGGATATGTCCTTTCACCATATTGGGTTCAGCCCCACAAAGAGACTGAAAGCTCTTCTTGAAGTGGGGTGGGGGAACCCTTCAAGCCATATTTCTCCAAATGGCATCCAGGAGCCCAGCCTCGGTGGAATGGAAGGAAAGTAAGGGTCACTGTGAGCTTGGCAGATGCTACAAAAGGTATAGACTACCTTCACCTTGGTCACCTCCAAGTTGAAAAAAAAACCGTATAGACTACAGGTGGTCACAGCTACCATTTCTCTAGTTTCCCTTTGACTAAGACAAACTTGGAATAGGAAATAGTAGAGATGCTAGATATCTGGTCATACACTGATGTTAAATTTGTCATCAAGCAAATTAAGAATAATAAGAAAGTATACTAAAAACAGTTTAATTCACAAAATGAAATGTATTAGAGTATATAACAGAAACTCCCCTCCCATAAACCCTAACTATTCCTTGGTTTGTCTTCCTTTGTAACTAAGCAGGTGAGAGGTTAGAAGTAAAACTCAGCTGAATTGATTTAAAATAACATCAGTCTATTTTAGCCCGTAAAGGCTTTTGCTCTAAAATTACTGATGGTTTACGACTTGCAGAGTTTGGACCTCCAAAGTTTCCTCAATGCATTCTGGTTTCATTTCAAAAGAAGTGAAGATCATCTTACAAAAAGTAACTTTGGGATGCCATTCAGCTCTAATAACTAATAAAGTGAATGAAGCTTTACTTACTTTTTCTTCTCATTTTTCCTCTTTTCTTTGGTACCCCTTTCACTGAATGGTTATACTTTATAGTTATCTCTTATAGTCATCTCCAAGGTAAGCATTTTATTGTGCATCCTTATGCTTAAAATTAATACATTCCTTCAATTTATGTTTATTTATTTACTGAATTATGTATATTATGAAGTAGATGAATAATAAACACTTTAAAGAATGAGCTAAAATAAATGTAATGGTGAAACTACGTCTCTACTAAAAAATACAAAAATTAGCCAGGTGTGGTGGCATGCGCCTGTAATCCCAGCTACTCAGGAGGCTGAGGCACGAGAATCACTTGAACCTGGGAGGAGAAGGTTGCAGTGAGCCAAGATCATGCCACTGGACCCAGCCTGGGCAACAGAGTGAGACTCTATCTCTAAATAAATAAATAAATAAATAAATAAATAAATAAATAAATAAATAAATAAAATGTAAGCAAACATTCTAATTTTTTCTTCCCAAGCCCCAGTAGGTCATATTGTGCACTGATCTATTGTCACAGCATAGTCAGTTCATCTGAGTCCAGTTTTCCTTAGTGCATCATTTTTATTGTCCTAAAGGGCAGTCCTGGACTTTTAGTCTAAGGTGTTCCTGATAACCATATTTTAAAATGATTTTTCTAAGGCTAAACTTTTAATTGTATAAGTGCCCTGAAAATTGATTTGTAATGAACACACAAACACACGAGTGTAAAAGTGACCAGCCTCAACTAGACAAAGTGAATTTCTTAAAACAAACAAAAATCTTTGAAAAAGTCAAACATGCTGGCACAGGTGGGCTCTTAACAATAAGGCTATACACATTAAGTAGGTGGAGCAAGGAGTCAGGCTGTGGTTGACTTGGACTAACAAAACCCTAGAAAGCGCCCGGCACCATGGTTCACATCTGTAATCCCAGCACTTTGGGAGGCTGAGGTGGGTGGGTCACTTAAGGTCAGGAGTTCGAGACCAGCCTGGCCAACATGACGAAACCCCCTCTCTACTAAAAATACAAAAAAATTAGCCAGGCATGGTGGCCCGCGCCTGTCATCTCAGCTACTCGGGAGGCAAAGGCAGGAAAATCCTTTGAACCTGGGAGGCGGAGGCAAGATGGTGGCACTGCACTCCAGCTGGAGTGACAGAGTGAGACTCCCGTCTCAAAAAACAAACAAACAAAAAACCTAGAAGGGAAGAAAGAAAGCCAATTTAGATAGTGACTCTCTCCAATGGCCAAATGACCAAATTCTGTTGTTTTTTCTCCATGTCGTTCCCTCTGTCTTCCCCCAGACACCCAGGCCCTGAGGTTATTCTGCCCCTGCCAGTGTTTCAGACCAAAGGAAATCGTAAGACATGGTTAACAATAAACCAGCAATCTTATCCTTTAATAAAGCCCTTGTCACAAAAGGCATGCCAAAATTTAAAAAGCGAACTGAAAACATTTATTCAAAGAATGGCAGACAAAGGATTCATACCTCTGATCTGTAATAAGGGCATACAAATGAATGAAATCAGAAACACCTTCCACTAATAAATTGGCAAAAGCTATTCACCAGAGAATAAATGATTGATTGGCCAATATGTAGGTAAATGTTACTTCTTTACTTTTTAAAATGTCGTGAGTTAAAACAACAAGATACTGTTTTTTCTCTGTCAAATTATCAAAGATTGTAAACTATCAAATAGTCTAGCCAGAATGTGGTAAAATGAGCACTGAATTCATCACAGGTAAACGTGTATATTAACTTGACCCTTTGGAAATTAATTTTGCAATACCAAAAGATGTATATTTTCCTTGATCTAGTAAAATCTTGGCTGTATCCCTAACCAAATTCTCTTCTGTTAACTTATCTTACAGAAATAGAAAAGAAATATTTAGAGACCAACATGTTTATTGGCACACTGTATAAAGCACTGATAATTTTTAAAACAGATTTGACAATATAAAAATAAATTACAATATATCTACAAAATACATTATTGTTTAGCTTTACAATTTTATGTTTATTAGGACAGCTTGGTGCTATGATGATTGCTTATGTTAAAGTCACCAGTGAAAAAACTGGGATGTGCAGTTATACTATAGTAATGACAACAACCAAGAAGGAAAGAAAAACACAGAAAAAGGCTCTAGGTGGAAATAAACAAAAATTCTGAGTTATTTTCCTTGGTTTACAGATCTATGAATGCTTTTAGTTCCTTTCTATAGTTTCTATTTTTAGATGTTTCTTCAAATTTATATCCATGTAACTATTATTGAGGAACTACAATTTTCCAGACACTGTCCTAAGAGCTTGGATAAAGTAATGATAAAAACAAAATTTCTACTTTCAATAGGGTTGCCAGATTTAGCAAATAAAAACATAGCACATCCAGTTAAATTTGAATTTCAGGTAGACAATGAATAGGTTTTACTATATGTATAGTATTTTATCTGGCAACCCTAACTCTCAAGGAATGTAATTTTTTGGGAGATAAATTTTCTAAATGAACATGAAACTAACTTTTATAGTTTATTTTTTATTTTAGTAAGATACACATAACATAAAATATGCCATTTTAACCATTTTTAAATGTACAGTTCAGTGTATTAAGTTCATTCATGATCTTGTGCAACCATCACTATTATTTAGTTCCAGAAATTCTTCATCACCTCAAAAGGAAAACTCCTTGTACAATGTGAATTTACTTCCCATTCTCCATTCTCTCCAGTTCCTGGCAACCACTAATCTGCTTTCTGTCTCTATGGATTTGCCTATTCCAGATATTTTATATATACATGGAATCATAAAAGATGCAGTCTTTTATGTCTGGCTTCTTTGACTTAGAATAATGTTTTTAAGGTTTATTCATGTTACAGCATGTATCAGAATGCCATTTCCTTTTATGGCTGAATAACAGTCCATTGTATGTATCTATCACATTTTGTTTATCCGTTTATCTATTGATGGACATTTGAGTTGTTTCCAACTTTTGGCTATTGTGAAATATATATTAATTTCATACCTTTAAAAATAAGTATTATTTAAACCATTATCCCCAGGAGATGATGTCAACCTTTTTCAGAGCTGATATGGTTTGGCTGTATCCCCACCCAAATCTCATCTTGAATTCCACCCTGCCATGTGGAACTGTGAGTCAATTAAACTTATTTCCTTTATAACTTACCCAGCCTCGGGTATGTTTTTATTAGCAGCATGAGAACAGACTAATGCAAGAGCCTTATCTACTTCAATGTTACGTGGTCAAATAATGCTGAGTAAAGTAGATGGCCAGGCAATATTCAGTCGACACAGTATAATGTATTGAGCAAAGTAAAATGCTAGGTTTTTTGGAGATAAAAAGAAAAATAAAATGTAAATCTTGCCATCAAAAAGCTTATACCAAATTCTGGGAAATGAAAGTCAAAAGTCCAGCATTTACTCACAAGCAGGGCTACTAAGCTGAGTTTGTGTTACCAACTCAGAGCTTCTGCTAGAACAATAAGTAGGGCGCAACATCACATCTGCATGGTTAAAATTCTTACCAAAAAAAAAAAAGTGTTCTTCCTAGAAAAAAAGGGAGAACTTTATCCAAAGATAAATCATGGTTTTTAATCCTTAAAGCTACCAAAAGACCAGAAATCAATATTGGAGTCCCTCCTGAGCACCTCCTCACAACACAGGCTAAATAACTAATTTCTGCCTTCCCATTTTTAGTGATCATTCTTTTGTTTCAGGTCCTCTGAGGTTTTCAGACTTACATCAGCAAATTCTTCCTTCAAACAGCTGGGGAAGCTGGCTTCCTAAACCTCTTGCTGGCATCATCATAGAGCATTATGAAGCATAAGAGATAGAAACAGACACGGGGGGCACCGGGATGCTTCTTTCTCTGTTGGCAGAACTCCAAGTGGCCAATGCCTGACCCAAAGCCAAGGAGACACAGAGGGGTGAGGCTGAGTAAGACAGGGTGCTGACAAGAAGAGTCAGAGACTCAAGATTCCCCAAGTGTCTTCTATTATACAATTGGTTCATATTCTGTCCCAGAACCTGCCACAACTTTCCCTCCTTCACCCTTGTTCGAGTTATCTGTACTGCCTAACTTCTACTGCCCACTGGCTGACTAAAATTGTATGTGTTCTTCCTCTAAGGGTCAATGCAAATCCTACCTTTTCCAAAGAGTCCTTTCTGATCTTCCCTTCTGCAATAAAAATAGATGTGATTTCTTCCTTCTCTGGACTTTCTTATCTCACCATATTTATTATAATTACTGGATATTTTATTTTATGTTACTTTTTAAAATTTTTTTGTGGGTACATAGCAAGTGTATATATTTATGGGGCATATGAGATGTTTTGATACAGACATGCAATGTGAAATAAGCACATCATGGAGAATGGGGTATCCGTCCCCTCAAGCATTTATCCTTTGAGTTACAAACAATCCAATTACACTCTTTAAGTAATTGCTGGTTGTTATGAATCATGCTGCTGGCTTATTCTGTTGCTCCAATTGCAGTACAACTGTCAACACTTGATTTTATTAACTCATCCATTCCTTTAGTAAATATTTACTGAATATGAGATCCACAGGAACCATATAGCGGTCTGTTTCTCTGCTGACTCAGACTGCTCTTTTTATTCTCTTTTGCCAGCACAACTTTCCCACCATCCCTTAAGGATTGGTGTTTTCCAGAAGTTTGCGCTGAAGTTTCTTCCAGTATCTAACATCTGATATAGGTGCAATCACTTCCCTCTCTGGAGCCAATGGCAGATACTACTCATCATTCATGGAACTCCTTCCCACTCTGCCTGATGGTAGCCTTAAATTCTTTCCCAACACAGCACCTGAGAAAGCTATCAATCATTTGGAGATGATAAGCGACATAAAATCTTTCTGTGATCCCTGTCCCTCTCTCCCTGGATGATTTCATCTACTACGACTTTCAGTTTTAATAATACTTCTGTGAAGATGATTCTACCACCATCCTGACATTTCTCCTGAATTCTAGATACATGTTTTCCATAACCTATAGACTTTTTCCGCTTACTTTCTCAAACTCAGCTTTGTCAAAAACCCTACTTACCATATACCCCATAAAACCTAGCCTTAGATATTACTATTTACACAATCACTCAGCCTAGAGACTTCAGACTTATCTCCACTTTCTTTTCTCTCTTGCTGCCTATCTCCATATGCAGTTGATTGTAGGTTATATTAATTCCACTTCATAAATGCCTTTTAAATATACAGTTTCTTATCCTTTTCCACTTCCTTCGTTTAGACCTTCATGGATTGCCTACGTGGATTCTTGCAAGAGTCTGTCATTCTCCATAAATGAATCACTCTCCTCTCCAAATTATCCTCTTCTTTGCCATCAGTTGTCTTCCTAAAGCATCCACCTGGCCATGGTAATGGTTTCTTTCATTCCCTTTCATGGATCCCCAAAATTCTTAAGTGCCATCAAGAAGAAATACCAAATTCCTTTTTAGCATGATATCCAGAGCCCTTCGCACTCTGGCCCCAAACTACTTTTCCAAGTACACTTCTCATCACTTCTCCAATTCCCAGCTTTCTGCTTCAGCATACCATACAAGCTACTCCCTAAATACCTCATGAACTTTCATACCTGTGTGTCTTTCCTCCTGCTGTATCACCTGCTCAGAATGTTTTTCCCCACTAACTGTTGGGGAAGTTCTCTTTCAACGCTTAGCTCTCCCCTTCTTCTTCCATCCCCTTTACCTCTCTCTACCTCCAGCCCAGTCTCCATTAATGGCCTATGTTGCTTTGTCATATGATGGTCTGTTGGGTCTACCCACCAGGCTGGTGACAGCTAGAGTAGTCTTGTTCATTTTTGGATCCATAATATGAATTGCAGAGTTCTAACACATAGTAAAGGATCAGTAAATGTTCTTCGCATATGTCACAGAGAAGCACACCCTATATTCTAAGTCACTTTTCTCTTTGAAGAGTAGCTAGTTGGTAAAATACGATGATTATTTTAGCTTGTATTTGAGTCTCATTGTATTTGAGTTTGTATTGAGCTTGTATTTGAGTCTCATCACTGGATGAGTCTTTAACTGGAAATTGTTGAGTTGCCCATACTTTTCTCAAACCTCCAGTGAAATTTTCTTGGAAAGTTATGCACAGGTGAGGCAATGAATCCAGACTTTGTAAAACAAAATTGTCCCATTATTTTCTTCTTGTAGAAATAAAAACAAAACCATCAAAGCTTGATTGACGTAAATGGGAAAAACCCTTTTGTTTTGTGTAATCTGGTGTTTTCATTAAGTAATTTGCTGAAGAGGAAAAGAGTCTTTGCAGGGGTTCCAGAAGCATTCTGCCCAACAAAGTCTGATTAATTTGAATAGTAGAGTTAGTCTCCAACCTTACCCATAAAAGCCATCCCTAGAAAAAAAGACTTCACACTCACAAGCTGCTTCTACTTCTGGAGACAAATCCCATTTCATGCCGTCTACCCAACCCTGGAAGAAAATCATGACACTGTCAGAATGAAATGTATTTTAAAGAGGGAAACCTTTGTTATGGTAGTGGTTGAGCATAATAATATGATAAAAATTTCCTTGGTCTATGTAATGACACAACTTTTTACTATCAAATATAAAAATTTTGGAAGGTGTAGCAGAGGCTTAATGCATACTGGACTTTAAAATTAAAGCTAAAGTAGCTTTGTTGGCGGCAGTTCTCCTCTAAACCAACCTAGTAATATTTACTTGCATTATAAGACTGTATTTAATAAGGCAAATGGGTTTGATGAATTATAATACATTGTAGTTTATGAGAGAATAAAGGTCTCCAGTACAGATATTGCTGTCAGCAGTTCTCACTGGAATTCCTTCATGGATTGTGGAGGTTGATTTAAATTATGCAATTCAAAATTTAAGTAGAAGCATTAAGAAATGGATCAAGACAGAGAAAGGTGGAAAAAAATCCCACAAAGCTAAGATACCAGTAAATGAATCTTTCTTACAAAGAAAAAAAATGCCAGCTTACAAATGAGCACTCTCTTTAGTTAGCAGGCTAAATCAGTGTGCAGGCCTAAATAAAGGGAACAATGGACACCTTCTGACACCAGGCTGTGTGTCTGGTGAGCATCCCTCAGTGCAAATGTTAGTACTGTGTGAGTATTTATTGTGTTTCTATAAAGTCCTAATGAGCTCCTTGGGTGAGAGTGAAACCCTTTGCTTTTTCACACTGTGCTCAAGACCCCTAAACTTCATGGGGTCAAATCTAAAGAAAGGGTAATGGACCATGAGGTCCAGCTTAATAGACCTGATATTAACACAGCAGCAAGAATGTCACCAAATGCAAAGTTTAGGGCAAGCAATGAATGAAGTATTTGTTACACTTAAATAATATACAAAGGTTATAACAGAGTAGTGGCACTATATCAATGTCATCATTGCAGGACTTTGAAAATCTCCCATGTATGAAATAACCCTGTAACACATCTTTTGGTTACAATAAATGAATTTGCTTTCCAACAGCAAATAATAAATTACAATAGAAAGTTATGCAACTGTTTGACTATCTGTAAATCTATAGTTAGTTTTAGATATTGAAAATCTCTTGCCCATATAAATAATTAGGATACCATTAGTATCTAATACTCATATAAGAGAAATGCATTATATTCTTCATATTGGTTATACAGTTTATATACTTAAATGAACATTTTCTCAAAATGAAACAGAGATTTTTCTTTTATTGGATAAGGTAGATATTCTTGCTTTGAAATAAGTAAAACATCACCACACTGAAGATGAGATCATAAGGCAGAACCACTTGTGTAAATATAGGACCCTTTCACCAGACTCCCTCATCCATGGAGTTGTTGGCTCATCACAATAACCCTTGTCTTTTATTACAGTGGAACTTCAGTTCATATGATGCAATGAAAGCTGCAGACCTGAGATCTGAAAAATCTGCACTCCATGGTTTGATTTGTAAATTAACATTAACGACATCATCACTCACTCTCTCATGGGTAAGAATGGGAAGACCTAGGGGTATGAACCAGTAAAAATATTGTATGCTGCTTCACTTTTCATGTTTTTATTTTCTTGCTGGGTTAATGAAATACCTTTCTTTGGAACTGACTGAAATAGGTTATAAATTATTTGAGGACAGGACTGTGTCTCTACTTCTGCTGTTTTACGTTCCTATTCCCCAACACCAAAGACACAGCCACAGTATTCTCTACATACTCCACACCTGAGGGATATGTTTAGGAAATGTTAGTCATAACTTCCCAACTCCCCTCTTTTTCTATGACTTGATTGTCACAAAAGTGAAAAATTGGCATTTACTCATAAATTTCAGGCAGGACATTGTCAAATTGTTCAGCTAATATATATTCTTACGAACTTTCAATAGATTACTAACTGCTAACTTCCCATTTCACTTTGCATTATTGATTTGATTTCCAGCAGTCTGCCCCATCCACAAATTTTTGGAGGTTAGTGGAATGTCACTTTCATATTTGTAAAATTAGACTAGGTTCAATTAGTTGAAAAACCTCACAGGTTTCAGATAACTACTTTCAAAATTCAAATACATAAAGCAAGGATATTTACAAACCAAAAACTACACCAAAGCTCTTAAGTGCTGTGGTTAACTGCCGTCATTTCTCTTTGACTAATAAAGATGGAGGGAAAATGACATTATTTTACTTGTTGTCATTTTCAAAGAAATACAGAGAAATTTAGAAATGGAAGCCAATTAATTTTTAATAATGAAGAGAAACCAAAAGCAAGTTATCTGTTGATGGGGTTGACCCTAAAGAAAGGGCCCTAGGACCTAGCCCAATGTGTGCAATACAGGAACATAGAAACTCTTAGCTACCTAAAAATATCATCTCCACCAGCCTGCCAGAATGTCTAGAACTTCTGTAATTGGAGTCATGGCTGTGCATTAAGACAGTTTTTGGTCAGGTGTGGTGGCTCACGCCTGTAATCCCAGAACTTTAGGAGGCCAAGGTAGGCAAATTATTGAGGATAGGAGTTTGATACCAGCCTGGCCAACATGATGAAATCCCGTCTCTACTAAAAATACAAAAATTAGTCAGGCATGGTGGCGGGGGCCTGTAGTCCCAGCTACTCTGGAGGCTGAGGCACGAGAGTCTCTTGAACCCAGGAGGCAGAGATTGCAGTGAGCCAAAATCATGCCACTGCACTGCAGCCTGTGCGACAGAGGGAGACTCTGTCTCAAAAAAAAAAAAAAAGACAGTTTTTAACAGATGCCCATTAAAATGCTGACGCAATACATTTACCCAATAATATCCATTTTCTCTCTGATACGTATTAGCCAAGAGCAAGACATGGTCCAGAGCAAATTGCTTGAACCAAAAGAGAGTAGAGTCTTGAGTAAAGTAGGATGTGAAAAGAATTCTGGAGAGCCAGGAGGCCCCAAAGACAATGGCTGTGGGGAGGAAGACCCAACCTAGGAGAGTGGGGTTGTACTGAAGACTTTGCCTTCTTTGAAATTGGCCATAACACCTGGTTATGCCTATTAGTAAACTGTTTCTAAATGTTTCCCTACAATTAGCAGCTCTTTAAGGAATTTAGATTTATACTTCCTGGCTTAAACATACAGAGGGGCAGTTTTTATTCTAAAAGAAGTGTGTGATTCATTTCTTCTCATATACTTTTAGAAGTGAGACCCACACAGATGTTAGAAAAGAGGTACTCCCACTTCCAGCTAAGATGGAGTAATAGGGACCAGATTTATCCTCCCATCAGGCACACACACATACACACATACACACACATACACACACACACACACACACACACACACACACACACATATGAAACAATGATTTTCAAGACATTTAACTTTAGGAAATGAAGGACAGTGATGACTGAAATGATTTTTAACAGAGTTTATTTTTAGAGCAGTTTTAGGTTCACAGCAAAATTGAAAGTACAGAGTTCCATACACCCTCTACTTTTCCCCACCTCGCCCCTGACAGACACACACTGTCAACATCCTAAACCAGAGTGGTACATTTATTACAAGCAATGAACCTACACTGACACATCATTATAAATCAGAGTCCATAGTTCACATTAGAGTTCACTCTTGGTGTTTTATATTCTAAGAGTTTTGACAAATGTATTAATGACATGTATCCACTATAATAGTATCACAGAGAATAGTTTCACTGCCCTAAAAATCATCCCTTTTCCCAGCCCCTGGCAACCACTCATCTTTTTACTTGTCTTTATGATTTTGCCTTTTCCAGAATGTTATATAGTTGGAATCATACAGTATGTAGCCTTTTCAGATTGGCTTCTTCACTTAATAGTACGTATTTTAGGTTCCTCCATGTCTTTTCATGGCTTGATAACTCGTTTCCTCTTAGTGCTGAATAACAGTCCATTGTCTAAATGTACTACGGTTTATTTACTTATTCACCTACTGAAGGACATACTTCCAAGTTTTGGCAATTATGAATAAAGCTGCTATAAACATTTGGGTGCAGGTTTTTGTGTGGGCTTAACTTTTTGATTCATTTGAGTGAATAACAAGGAATGCAATTGCTGGATCATATGGTAACAGCATGTTTAGTTTTGTAAGAAACTACCAAACTGTTTCTTCAGTCGTGGTTGTACCATTTTGCATTTCCATCAGCAATTAATGAGAGTTCCTGATGTTCCACATCCTCGTAAGAATTAGATGTTGTCAGTGTGTTGGACTTTTGCTATTCTAATAGATAAAAGTAGAATCTTGTTGTTCAAATTTGCAGTTCCCTAATGACATATGATGTTGAGTATCGTTTCATATCCTTATTTGCCATCTGTGTATCTTCTTTTCTGAGGCGTCTGTTCAGATCTTTTTTTTTTTTAAGACAGAGTCTTACTCTGTCGCCCAGGCTGGAGCACAGTGGTGTAATCTCAGCTCGCTGTAACCTCTGCCCCCCAAGTTAAAGCAATTCTCCTGCCTCAGCCGTCTGAGTAGCTGTGGCTACAGGCACGCACCACCATGCACGGCTAATTTTAGTAGAGACGAGGTTTCACCATGTTTGCCAGGCTGGTCTCAAACTCCTGACCTCAAGTGATTCACCCGCCTGGGCCTCCCAAAGTGCTACAATTATGGGTGTGAGCTACCGTGCCTAGCCTGTTCAGATCTTTTGCCCATTTCTTCATTAGTTTGTTCATTTCTCATTGCATTCTAAAAGTTATCTGTATATCGTGAATGTATTCTCTTGAATTCTTTATCTGGTATATCCTTTGCAAATGTTTTCTCCTAGTCTGTGGTTTAACCTCTCATTCTGTTGACAGTATTTTTCACAGAACAAAAATTTAATTTTAATGAAGTCCAGTTTATCAATTATTTCTTTCCTGGAGCTAAAAAGTCATCATGTTGCCCAGGAGCATCTAGATTTTCTCCTGTGTTATCTTCTAGGAGTTTTTGGTTTTGTTTTGTTTTTAATATCAACTTTTATTTTAGATACAGGGGGGTCCATGTGCAGGTTTGTTACATGGGAATATTGCATGATGCTGAGGTTTGCAGTATGGATCCCATCACCCAGGTAGTGAGCATAGTATCCAATAAGTAGTTTTTAACCCAGCCCTCTCTCCTTCCCTCCACACTCTAACAGTCCACAGTGTCTATTGTTCTCAAATTTATGTCCATGTATGCTCAGTGTTTATCTCCTATTTATAAGTAAGAACATGTAGTAGCAGGTTTTCTGTTTCTGCATAAATTTGCTTAGGATTATGGCTTCCAGCTCCATCCATGTTGCTGCAAAGGACATGATTTCACTTTTTATGAATGCATAGTATTCCATTGTATACATGTACCACATTTTCTTTATCCAATCTACCATTGATGGGCACCTGGGTTGATTCCAAGTCTTTGCTATTGTGAATAGCACAGCAATGAACATATGAGTACATGTATCTTTTGGGTAGAATAATGTATCTTCCTTTGGATAGTTACCCAGAAATGGGATTGCTGAGTCAAATGGTAGCTCTGTTTTAAGTTCTTTGAGAAATCTCCAGACTGCTTTCCACAGTGGCTGGACCAATTTACATTCCCACCAGCAGTGTATACGTGTTCCCTTTTCTCTGCAGCCTCTCCAGCATCTGCTGTTTTTTGACTTTTTAGTAATAGCCATTCTGGGTGGTGTGAGATTGTATCTCACTGTGGTTTTGATTTGCATCTTTCTGATGATTAGTGATGCTAAGCATTTTTTCATGTGTCTGTTGGCCACTTGTATGTTTCCTTTTGAGAGGTGTCTCTTCATGCCCTTCACCCGTTTTTTAATGGGGTTATTTGGGGTATTTTTACTTGTTGATTTGTTTAAGTTCCCTATAAATTCTGGATATTAGGCCTTTGTCAGATGCATGGTTTACAAATATCTTCTTCCATGCTCCAGGTTATCTGTTTGCTCTGCTGATAGTATCTTTTGCTGTGCAGAAGCACTTTAGTTTAATTAGATCCCACTTGTCTATTTTTGGTTTTGTTGCCATTGCTTTTGGGGACTTAGCCAAAAATTCTTTGCCAAGGCCAATGTCGAGAAGAGTATTTCCTAGGTTGTCTTCCAGGCTTTTTATAGTTTGAGGTTTTATATTACATTATATAAGTATTATAGCTAATTTTTGTATGTGGTGAATGGTAGGGGTCCAGCTTCAATCTACTGCATATGGCGAACCAGTTATCTCAGCACCATTTATTGAATAGGTAGTCCTTTCCCCATTGTTTTGCTGACCTTCTCAAAGATCAGATGGCTGTAAGTGTGTGGCTTTATTTCCAAGTTTTCTATTCTGTTTCATTGGTCAATGTGTCTGTTTCTGTACTAGCACCAAGCTGTTTTGTTTACTGTGGCTTTATAGTATAGTTGAAAGTCAGGTAGTGTGATGTCTCTGGCTTTGTTAAATTTGCTTAGCATTGCTTTGGCTATTTGGGCTGTTTTTTGGCACCTCTACCCTAGTTCAAGCCACCATCATCTCTTGTCTGGATTATTATAATAGACTACTGACTCCTTTCATTTCCAGTTTTGTCTTTCTGTAGCAACCTAAGTGATTTTCTTTAAAATATACTTATTGTCACTTCCCAGCTCTCAATTCTCCAAAGGCTTCCCATCACACTGGAACTAAATCTGGATTTCTTATAATGGCACACCTAGATCACCTGGCACTGCCTGCCTCTTGGACTTGTGGCCTCCTGCTCATCTGGTTTGTTTCATACCATCTTTTGCTCATCTAACTCTGGCTGAAATTGGCCATTTTGCTGATTCCCAAAGATGCCATGCTTGTTTTTACATCAGGGCCTGCTAGGGACTGAATTTTGTACCCACCTGCCCCCAACTCAAGTTTATATGTTAAAATATTAACCTCCAATGCAATATTATTTGGAGATGGGGCCCTTGGAAGGTCTTAGAGTTACATGAGATCATGAGGGTGGAGCCCTCGTGATGAGGCTAGAGCCCTTATGAGAAGAAACACCTGAGAGCTTGCTTGCTCACACTCTCTCTGCCATGCAAGGACAAAGCAAGATGGCCATCTGCAAGCAAGGAAGACGGCCATCCCTGAAGCCCAGCCATGCTGGCACCCTGATCACAGACTTCTAGCCTCCAGAACTGTGAGAAAGTAACTTTCTGTTGTGGAAGCACCCAGTGTATGGTGTTTTGTTACAGCTGCTCAAGTGGACTGATGAGGCCTTTGTGCTTGCTCTTTCCTCAATCCAGAACATTCTTTCCTCAGATCTTTGCAGGTGCTAGACTTGCTCCTCGCCTTTGCAGGGCCCAGGGCAAAAGTGAAAAAAAAGGCTCCTTATTTTATGTTTGAAATGATAAGGCAAGATAACAAACTGCCAAATAAAGTGTACTCTATTCTCTTTCCTTGACAAATGTTCATGATGACAATTTTTTAAGGGTAAAGCTATGGCTATTATATAATATAGTAGGCCAAACATCAATGTTCATTAATTTTAATAATTCTTGTGCATCTCTAGGTGTTCTATTGATGGAACAGCAATGTTTAGAGACTTAATAAGATAAAGACCTACATAATTCAGAAATTATTATATGTTTTATCCATTAAACTTCTTTCTTCCTTTCATTTCAGCAAAATCACTATGTTTTGTAATCAAAATTTTCACAACAATCCATGTTTTGTTGACCATACTGATCTAAAGGATGAAATATAATGTAATTATATTCAAAATGCACAAAATTAGAATAAATTTTAATGAAAAAGGCAAATTAAATGTAAAAACATTGAAATTATTCTTCAGGCTTTCAAAGAAGTTATTTTTTAAATGTTAAATTATTTATTAAAACTAGAAAGTACATTATCAATGATAACAAATGAACATCAAAATCTTAATAAAATTATTTAAATAAAGGTAAAATTTTATTTCATTTTTTGAAAATTCACTTAAAATGTACTAAATATTTTTATACATATAAACTACATACAATTGTAATATTCAATGTCCATTTAATGTAGAAAATGGAATTAATTATAATTAATTTAATTTGGAATTAAGTGAAACTAATTAATTTCTTCAAAACCACAAACCAGAATACAAGGGAAAGACAGGAAGGAAATGGACATGTACTTAGCACTACTGGGAACTAATTTGTCATTTTGCAAGGATCTATTCCTTTCTAAGAGGAAGGAGTTAACAATTACAGTAATTTTTTTTTTTAATTTTAGCACCTCAGCACAACTCACTTGTCCTTATGGCATTAGGACATTATTGCCTCTTGTTATGAAGTCACAGAACAAGAGATTTTTGACAGGAGTTTCCCTGGGGCCTGAGGAGTTTTATTCACAAGCAGAGATGTTTAAGGTCATGAACTGTGCTATGCAAGCACCTATGCCTGACCCTGGGTAACAGAAGTGCCATGTATTCTTTAATAAATGTCTTTGTGTGTGTTTGTGATAGGTGGGGACCTCTAGTGTGCTGAGCCCAGGGACGCTGCCCTCTTGCCTGAGTCTGAGTGTGGTATTACAAAGCTCACTCCTTTCATTCTTTCAGGTCTTGGCTCAAATGTCACCTTACAAGATACTGCCACCCACCCCCCGTGCGCGCACACACACACACATGCACAAAGACACACACGTATGCAGGTATGCACATACAAATGCTTATCTATACAGACATGTGCCCTATGACTGTCTAGTCCCTCTTCCTATTTAATTTTCTTCAGAGCACTGATTCCTACCTGATATATGTCAATATATTAATTTTTTTTTTGGCTATCTCCCCAACTAGAATACAAGCTCTATAAATAAACAGTCTGTAAATTTATCCTTCCACTCCAGCTCATTCCAGGCATTGTGTACATGTGTTTAGGGAGGTGGAAATGGGAGCATCAGCAAGAAGGTAATGCAAGGAATCCAGGAAAATGACGCAATTTGCCATTGCCCAGGGATAGTTCTGACAAACACCAAAAAATACTGTTTTCCAGATTTGTATGTTTATCCTTGAAACAAAAGGAATCTTCTCATAAGATTTGGTTTGGAAGCTAAGAAATTAAGACTATATTTGCAGACAGTTCTCTTCAGTTTTCTGTAATGAGGACTTGATGGGTCTCTCAGAAGGCTTCCTCACCCTCTGTGGTCCACCTTCACTTGTTTTCTCGAATGAGGTCATGTGATGGCTAATACTGAGTGTCAATTTGATTGGATTGAAGGAAGCAAAGTATTGTTCCTGGGTGTGTCTGCGAGGGTGTTGCCAAAGGAAATTAACATTTAAGTCTGTGGGCTGGGAAAGGAGGGCCCACTCTTAATCTGGGTGGGCACAATCTAATCAGCTTCTAGTGAGGCCAGAATAAAAATCAGGCAGAAGAACACGAAAAGACCGGACTGGCTTAGTCTCCTAGCCTACATCTTTCTCCCATGCTGGATGCTTCCTGCCATCGAACATCGGACTCCAAGTTTTTCAGCTTTGGGGTTCAGACTGGCTTCCTTACTCCTGAGCTTGCACACCTTGTGGGACCTTGTGATCGTGTGAGTTAATACTCCTTAATAAACTCCCCTTTGTTTTGTCCCTCTAGAGAACTCCGTCATCACCACGTTACCAAAATGAGACTCTTAACCTTTACAAATATGTATACATGAGAGTATTACTTACTGAATATTAAAATGTCAAGTTATATCACACTGTAATCCTAGCACTTTGGGAGGCCAAGGCAGGCAGATCACTTGAGCCCAGGAGTTCAAGACTGGCCTGGGCAACCTGACGAACTCCCATCTCTACAAAAAATACTATTAGCCAGGTGTGGTGGCACACACCTGTAGTCCCAGCTACTTGGGAGGCTGAGTGGGGAGGATTAACTGAGCCTGGAGAGGTTGAGGCTGCAGTGATCCATGACTGTGCCACTGTACTTCAGCATGGGGGACAGGGTGAGACTGTCTCAAAAAAAAAAGTAAAGTTATAAAGAAAAGGATGTTGTCTTAGCCCAATAAAACTAAAATAGAAAAACAATCAGCAAGATTACTACTATAATTGAAAACAAAAAATAATTTTGTTGGTAAAGAATTCTCATAAATATTATGTTACTGTATTTCCTAAGCTTTTTTGTCTTTTTCATTTCTTTACTCTCTTTCTCTCAAACCATCAATTGTAGATTATACCAGCAATAAGGTATATGAAGGAAGTCATTGTAAAAAGAGTTAATATATCATGACCGAAGCCAAACATATATAGTTTTTTTATAATACCAGCAAAGGAGAAAAAATGTGGGACTCATCCCATTAAAAAACTTATTAATGATACTTCACTAATAATACAGACTTCACTAGGTCAGCAGTTTAGCTGAAATAGTGGTCAACCTCATCAAAGTTTGCTTCCTTTTTCTCTATTGAAATGTTTCTTCACTAAATTGTTTGTGGTGTGCCTATGCCAATGGCTTCGAAGCATTTTCTTTAAAAAAACAAAAAACACCTTAAAACATATGCTCTCCCTACGGAATAGATTTATACAATCTATTACTCTTTTGGAAATTGAATATTTTAAATGGCAGTAACAATCAGTTAGTTGACATAAACATTCAGTAGCTACCCACAATATTTCCATCAAAGGCTAAATAAAAATATGAGATTTCATGTTTTATTCTAAAGACTTGGACTCCTTTATAAAGACAGCAAGAACTGATAGTAATTTGTAGTTTTCTAGGAAAACTCTGCCACCTAGAATTTAAATATGGGAATCTATAGTTAGGAAAATGAAATAGACTTCATAGCTGTAGAGAGAAAATATGTTGTACAATTTACATACGATTATCTATGGAAAAAGGAGGGAGGGATATCTTAGTCATAGAATTGCAATGTTGTAGGGCAGGAGCTTTGTGAAATTCACAAAGCAACTTTACTTGAGGTTTGAGAAGTTCTTAGGGTAAAAATTACACACAGTTAGTAATCATAGCTCTAGGTCTTTCTTAGTTACCTGTGGAGCACGTTTTCTTTAACAAGTCTTCATTAAATTATGATGTGTCAGGAGATGTGCTATCCACTGGAGATGTAAAATTTAGTTCACATTCTAGTGGGGAAGAGCTACATTTTTTAATTACATTTAAAAATGATAAGTATACAATAGAAACATTTTAAACTACTGTAGAGTCACAGAAAAGGAAGTGATTACCTCTCTATAGTGAAGGAAGTTGGCCAAAGAAGGCTTGCAGAGGAGGAAATAGATAACTGGCCTCAGTGGATACAAAATACATTAACACTCAATCGACTCCACTTGACACCAGACTAACCGAATCTCTGGCACCTCTATAAACAGACTGCCTGATAAGCATGGCTAGTGGTTGCTTGTGTAGGACCCCACCCACTGGTATGCCTCAAAACTTCTCTCACTTGAGCATTTGTATGCTTTTCAAGAGTCAAGAGTGTTGATTCCCCAGTGTTTATGCCAGTTGTACTTACTATTGTAGTTACTCAATGTAATTAAATATTATACAAGCCAGTTCTATTTCAGCATGAAAATGAAGAGAACTGAAGGTCTATAAAAGCTAATGCTTTGGAAAGACTTCATATAATAGCCATTATAAAAAAATTGAAATTGTGCTTACATCAGATATAGGTAAGACACCTATAAGTAACTGGAAGAAAATTATAGACATCTAGATGGATTTTGCACTCATATTACTTTGCAAGGGCATTAAATTTCTACTCATCTTGAAATCAAATGAAATCAAAACTAAATGTAAAACGGTGCGAAAAGGACACAGATAATGCAATAGGAACTATGAGAAATTGTATTAGTCTGTTCTCATGCTGATGATAAAGACATACCCGAGACTAGGAAGAAAAAGAGGTTTAACTGGACTTACAGTTCCACATGGCTGGGAGGCCTCAGAATCATGGCAGGAGGTGAAAGGCACTTCTGACACAGAGGCGACATGGGAAAATGAGGAAGATGCAAAATAAAAAACCCCTGATAAAACTATCACATCGCATGAGACTTATTCACTACCACAAGAACAGCATGGGGGAAACTGCCCCTATGATTCAAATTATCTCCCACTAAGTCCCTCCCACAACATGTGGGAATTATGGAAGTATCATTCAAGATGAGATTTGGGTGGGGACACAGCCAAACCATATCAGGAATGTTCATCAGCAAAGAAAAAGCCTTGGCTCCACATTGAAAGTTTGACAATGAAATGATATATTTATACATTTTAATTTAAAACAATTAAAAACTAGGCCATGCGCAGTGGCTCACACCTGTAATCCCAGCACTTTGGGAGGCCAAGGCGGGCAAATCATTTGAGTTCAGGAGTTTGACTGGCCAACATGGTGAAAACCCCCCAGTCTCTACTAAAAATACAAAAATTAGCTGGGCGTGTTTGCGGGTGCCTGTAATCCCACCTACTCAGAAGGCTGAGGTGGGAGAATTGCTTGAACCCGAGAGGCAGAGGTTGCAGTGAGCCAAGATTGTGTCACTACACTCCAACTTGGGTGACAGAGTGAGACTCTGTCAAAAAAAAAAAAAGAAAGAAAAAAAACACCTATGGTCATGCATCACTTAATAACAGGAATACATCCTGAGAAGTGTGTTGTTAGATAATTTTGTCATTGTGTGAACATCATAGCATGTACTTACACAAGCCTACACATGTAGGCTATGTGGTATAGCCCATTGCTCCTAGGCTACAATCCTGTACAGCATGTTGCTGTACAAAATACCGCAGGCAATTGTAACACAATGGTAAGTATTTATATATTGAAACATAGAAAAGGTAATGTATTGTGCTGTGACATTATAACATCACTAGACAATAGGAATTTTTCAGTTCCATTATACTCTTGAGGGATCACCATCATATATATGTGCTTCATCATTGGCCAAAGCATTGTCATGCAGTGCCTGACTGTAATTACAAATAATTTTTATATATAGAAAAAGGTAATTAATAAAATAAATAGATGATAGGTAATTGATAATTAGATCACTCTATCAATTACAGATCCAGTTTCCTTGGTTAAAAAGGCATAGTGTACCCTAAAACTTAAAGTATAATAATAAAAAAAAAAAGCAAAAGAGAGAACTGCCATGAAAAAAAAAAAAGAAGGCATAGTGGTTAAGAGCACAGACTCTGGAACCAGATTGCATAGGTCAAATTCTGGTTCCACCACTTACAAGCTATGTTGCCTCAGGCAAGTAGTCAAGTTAATCTCTTTGTACCTTAGTTTTATCACTTGTTGAAGGGGGCTAATAATATAGTTTTTCTAAAAGATTTATCTTAAAGATTAAATTAGTATATATAAAGAACTTGGGACAACACCCGACACAGTAAATGTTGTATAAGTCTTGGCTATTACCAGCATAGCTATTACCAGTACTAGTAACAGAACTAGTACTGCTACTAATACTGATAACTGTATTTTGCCAGGGAGAGAGACAGAAGAAGGATGGGAAGAGGAGAATGCATTTGCAAGAGGGAATGACCTGCAAACCATGCCAACTGGAAGTGTAGTGCATTTGGGAGAGATAAACAATGAGGCAGTCTTAGGTTTGCTGGCAAAGTTGCTTTTCTGTCATTCCATTCCTAGTGTACCCTCTACCTCTAATTCTCTCTGCTCTCTTGATCATTTATTATATGTCAGGTTTTGAGATGCTGATGAACAAGAGTGATCTCAAAACTTTACAAATTTATAATTTAGCAGGAAATTTTAGTATGTAAATCATATGTTATTAAGAATATACATGCTGTTAAGAATGTATTGTACATTCTATATATAAAAATGTTATTGGTGCAAAGAACAGGATGCGAGAAACTGACCTGAGAGAGTATGATGGAAAGTAATAATTGAGCTGGATGTTAAGGATGAGTAAGTGTTTATTCATAAATAGCAGCATAAAATAATTAGTATCCAACATGCCTAATTGCCATCACTAGACTTACTAGACGAGGCAATCAGAGTGCCCTTTTCAAGTAGTTAGAACAACAAAGAAACCTTCTGACTACAGTAAAAGATTTGGAAAGTATAACATTTATATCACAAGGTCATTGTTATTTTCTATTTGATTTATCCTTGATAAAACTCTGAAATGTGTCATTGAGCCACACCACCCTTAAGTCAAATGACTTCTGAAATACCTTTTTTTCTGTTTTCCTATTTTTTAGCTTTCTAACTTAGACAACTGGCAAGATAAAAATGAACATGAAATGTTGAGAACAACCACCAAGAAAAGGCTATAACCATTGTTCACTGTCTTTCCTTTCAGCACAATAAAATAAAAGGAGATTCCATAAAATAATTTCACTTTGATACCATGCATTGTGGGCAACCTCATTCTGGCATTTTCATTCTGTGCCTCATGTTGACATTATCGACATGAGGGAGGGAGAGAGCTATCTTCTTAAGGAATGCTCACTAAATATTTGAAATGAACAGTGATGAGATCAAGCATTCAGCAACAGAATTCAGCATAGAAAAGCAGCTATAGCACCAGTCCTGAAGTTAATCAACCCTGGATCCAACTCCTACTCCACTACTTATTTGCTGTGTGACAATAGAAAAGTTACTGAACTGTGAACTTCATTTGTAAAATGCAGATACTAATTCTTACCCTCTACCATTTCTGGAATATCAAGTAAAATTTGTAATAGAACACTTGTACATTGTAGATAGTTAATGAATGCTTCTTGAATGAATAAAGTTATTTTCATTCGTCAGCTTTTTGAAAAATACTTTATTGGTTTTTCATTACAACAGTAATTGTATTTGTCTGCTATGGTTGCCATAACAAAGTACCACAGATTGGATAGTTTAAACAACAGTAATGTATTGTCTCACAGTTCTGGAGGCTGGAAGTCCAAAATCAAGGTGCTGGCAGGGTTGGTTCCTTCTGAGAGCTGAGAGAGAAGGATCTCTTCCAGGCCTCTTTCTGTGGCTTATAAATGGCTACCTTCTCACTGTGTCTCTTTACATTGTCTTTCCTCTATGTACATCTGACTCTGTGTCCATATTTCCCCTTTTTATAGGATACCAGTCATAAGGGCACCTACTCCAATATTATCTCATCAGAACTAATTATATCTGCAATGACCCTGTTTCCAAATAGGTCAAATTCTGAAGTACTGGGGGTTAGGACTTGAAACATAAATTTTGGGGGATGAATTTCAATCTATAACAGTAATAAAGGCTCTCTGTAATATTTCAAGCTATATAGGGATATAAAAAATTAATATTGGCTGGGCGCGGTGGCTCACGCCTGTAATCGCAGCACTTTGGGAGGCCGAGGCGGGCGGATCACGAGGTCAGGAGATCGGGACCTCCATCCTGGCTAACACGGTGAAACCCCGTCTCTACTAAAAATACAAAAAAATTAGCCGGGTGCGGTGGCGGGCGCCTGTAGTCCCAGCTACTCGGGAGACTGAGGCAGGAGAATGGCCTGAACCAGGAGGCAGAGCTTGCAGTGAGCCGAGATCGCACCACTGCACTCCAGCCTGGGCGACGGAGGGAGACTCTGTCTCAAAAAAAAAAAAAAAAAAAAATATATATATATATATATATATTTTATTCTCCTATGATCCTAAGTGAAGTAACTCAGGAATAGAAAACCAAATGTTATATGCTCTCACTCATAAGTGGGAACTAAGATATGAGGATGCAAAGGCATAAGAATGGCACATGGACTTTGGGGACTCATGGAGAAAGAGTGGGAAGGGGTTGAGGGATAAAAGACTAGAAATTGTGTATAGTGTATACTCCTCAGGTGATGGATGCACCAAAATCTCACAAATCACCACTAAAGAACTTACTCATGTAACCAAACACCACCTGTTCACCAGTAACCTATAGACATAATTTTAAAAAAAAAAAAAAGAGAGAGATTAAGCTTAAAAAAAAAGTCTCCTCCTCCAATCCAATCTCATTCCTCTGTTTTGACCAATTTTAACACTTTGGAAGTGTTGACATCCCCAAACCCTAGATGAATCCTACTTTGGAATGTATCTTTCTGTCTTTCTTATGTCTGCACACTCACCCACTCACATAGACACACACACACATGCATGCATGCACACACACACAGGCACACACAACACATATATACAGTCTTATCTTTAAATATATGTGTAGTCTTTTTTATTTTTATCAAAATTAAATCATCTACAGCCATACCATCCTGAACATCCCTATCTCATCTGATCTCAAAAGCTAAGCAGGGTCAAGCCTGATTAGTACTTAGATGGGAGACCTCCTTGGAATACTAAGTGCCGTAGGCTTAAGAAAAATATGCAAAACATTTTAAAAATAAATAAAATTAAATCATGTTATACATACTATTTAACTGCTTGCTTTTTTAATTCACAATAAATCATGAATATTTTTCTTTTTTTTTTTTGAGATGGAATCTCGCTCTGTCCCCCAGGCTGGAGTGCAGTGGCGCGATCTCGGCTCACTGCAAGCTCCGCCTCCCGGGTTCACGCCATTCTCCTGCCTCAGCCTCCGGAGTAGCTGGGACTACAGGCACCCGCCACCATGCCCAGCTAATTTTTTTATATTTTTAGTAGAGATGGGGTTTCACCGTGTTAGCTAGGATGGTCTCGATCTCTTGACCTCGTGATCCACCCGCCTTGGCCTCCCAGAGTGCTGGGATTACAGGCCTGAGCCACCATGCCCGGCCTTAAATCATCAATATTTTTCTAAGTCAATGAGCATAGACTTATGTAAATATTTGCATAATATTCTATAGTATAAATAAGCCATAATCTATTCAATTCATTTCCTATGGGCAGGTATTCAGGGTCTGTCTTAGTCTGTTTTGTGCTATTACAGAATACCTGAGACTGGGTAATTTATAATTAACAGAAATTTATTTGACTCATTGTTCTGGAGTCTGGGAAGTCCAAGACCAAGGGGCCACATCTAGCAAGGGCCTTCTGCATCATTGTCCCATGGCAGAAGGGTGGAAGAGCAAAAGACCAATGAGAGAGAGACAAGGGGGCCAAATTCATCCTTTTATCAGGAACCCAGTCCCACATAACTAACCCACTCCTTTGATGATGGCATTAATCCATTCATGAGAGTCGTCATGACCTAATCACCTATTAAAGGTCCCACCTCCCAACGCTGTTGCATTGGGAATTGTTTCCAATCCAGGAATTTGGGGGGACACATTCTAAGCAAAGCAGGATGTATCTAGGGTTTGGGGGTGTCATTTTTTTAATGCAAAAATATAGTTTTACATGGCTTTTTCCTCAAAAACTAGTGCTTTTATTTATGTAAGCTACATTCTGAGAAATAGCACTTCTAGGCCTAATATATGCAAATTTAAATTTAATATTATCAGATCATTTTCAAAAATGTTTTAGCAAGTCAATACTCACCAATAGTGCTTAATAATTATTCATTTTCCCCACACTTTTGCCAAAGTGAATTTGATCCATTTTTTAAATCTTCTACATCTCTGATACATGAAAAATGATATCTCTTTACTTCTCTAATTTACATATCCCTGACTACACTGAGGTACAGCATCTTTACGTATATTTATTGGCTATTTGTATTCCTATTCCTCTTCTGAGAATTGCTAGATCAAATTGTGTACATATTTTTCTATTATATTTCTTGTCTTTTATCCATTTGCAAGAGTCACTGTTATAAGGAAAATTAACACCTTGTCACATATAGGGCAAATATTCTTTCCTAATCTATCATTTGTCTTTCAACTTTATAATGGTGTCTTTTGCCATTCAGAAATGTTATGTCATTATGTAGTCACGTCTATGCATATTTTCTAATGGTTTCTGGATTTTTCTGCCTTGCCTATGAGGGTCCCTATCCTACCCCCGAGGTCATTCATAGTCTCTTTCATTATAGTTTGATGTTTTGTAGTTATATATCTCTCTACCTAGGTCATTTATACAGCTGGAATTTCTCTTTCTATTTGCTGTAAGTTCCAAATCTATTTTTTTCCTTTCAGGTGAATATTCCATTATGTTAACACTATTTATAAGGTAATTCTTCCTTTTCCCACTAAATTGAAATGTCAGCATCATCATATATTAAGTACTTATTTTGAAGAATACCTGAATCAGTTTCTGTGCTCTCTGTTCTGTTCCACTGATTGATTTGTTCATTCTTGAGCCAATATTCATATTATTTTGATTGCAGTAGCCATATAGGGAGTTTTATTAGGTTGGTGCAAAAGTAACTGCAGGGTTTGCCATTGGCAAATTACTGTACACCAGTAATTGCAAAACCTGCAGTTACTTTTGCACCAACTTAATAAAATCTGTATGGTAAGCTCCCCTTTACTATTTGTTTTCTTTCACAGTTTTCTTGACAGTATTTCTATGCTTAGTCTTTCACATTAGCTTTATTTTGATAAGTTAAAAACAACAACAATGGTCGGCCGCAGTGACTCACACCTATAATCCCAGCACTCTGGGAGGCCGAGGTGTGTGGATCACCCGAGGTCAGGAGTTCTAGACCAAACTGGCTAACATGGTGAAACCCCGTCTCTACTAAAAATACAAAAATTAGCTGGGTGTGGTGGTGGGTGCCTGTAATCCCAGCTACTCGGGAGGCTGAGGCAGGAGAACTGCTTGAACCCAGGAGTCAGAGGTTGCAGTGAGCCAAGATTACACCATTGCACTCCAGCCTGAGTCACAAGAGCAAAACTACGTCAAAAAATAAATAAATAAAGTAAATAAATAACAGCAATGAAATTCTGATAATTGTTTTAAGTTTACATACAAATGTGGGAATATTAATGATATTCCCTATCCAGGAATAATACACATGGGCCACATGAAGTTGATATGAAAGCTGTGGTTTAGAAAGGTTATATACCTTGCCTTCCAAAGCCGCATAGCCAGCTAAAGACAGAAATTGCCTTTAGTATCCCTTTGGTGCAAATTTTACAACATTAGTAACCCTTTCATTCATATCTGAGAAGGAAGGTTGTATCACCTGAGGTCAGGAGTTTGAGACCAGCCTGGCCAACATGGTGAAACCCCGTCTGTACTAAAAATATGAAAATTAGCTGGGTGTGGTGGTGGGTACCTGTAATCCCAGCTACTCGGGAGGCTGAGGCAGGAGAATTGCTTGAACCCAGGAGGCAGAGGTTGCAGTGAGATTGTCCTCAACTAAATTACTGAGCTTGTCCTTGACTAAACTACATGGCAGCTTAGCCATTTACAGGGCAGTCAGATGCAAGCAGAATTTGACCAAGCATGGCACCAGTTAATAAGCAAATTGCCAGCTTTCATCCAAATAAATTCTTATTCTTCAAAATATCTAGATTTAATAAGAATGAGAATAAATTTCCACTTAATAAGTATCTGGTACACTCTTGGCTCAAACCTATCTTTACCTATATGAACTTCTGTCATTATAAATTAATTTCTTTGTTTAAAAGTGTATTCTTCTAAAATGTAAATATTATTATAACGATTACTACACATATTGGTGTGAATTGGCTTAATTGCTGCTCTTTTAAGAACCAGCTGGCAAAGTCCCTATTGAAATTAAAATGTTTCTCTTGGAGGGGTGGGGCATGGAGAATGGTTTTAGAAAATGGGACGCCACTTCAGAGTAGCTTAGGCTAAACAGATTGCTGAGAGATATGGGGAAGCTGGAAAGGTGGAGGGACTTGACAAGCTCAGAGGATCCCAGAGCTGGGCCATACAGGAGAGTAAGAGCCACGGAGCCGCACCAGTTATTTCACACTTTCCTTTGGGCTAAGAACTTTTTTGTTCAAAACAAAACATGAAAAAAGAACTTCTGTTCAGCCACCACTAGGTGACAAATGGAGCAAATCATCTCTACAAAATCAGGTGTCTTTCTATATTGACAGCAGTTGTATCCCTCCCATACTCAGAGGAGCCACTTAACAGGAAGTCCAGTCACCATTTGCCATCACTCCTGCTCAAAAACAATGCCCTTTTCAGAACATTTCCAAAGCTAAACCAAAGAACAGCAAGAAAATCAGTTTTAAGGGAAAAGCCTTGCCTGAAGCTGGACACGAATTGACAAGAGATGGAGCCACTAGGCAGCAAATAGGAAAACAGATAAGGAAAAAGCCAGTCAGATCAATAAGTTACCAAAGTCAGTTAATTAACCAGTCAGTACTATGGAGCACCAGCTATGTACTGATTAAATGTAGTTTTAAAAATTACTCAGTTTAACAGACTGATATTGGGTACGCATCACCTGGATGCCCAATGCTTCTGCACATCTCCATCCTTTTTTTTCTCTGGACAGAATAAAATTAGATTCTGCCCTTCTTATTAAATCAAGGTGGTGATGTTACACATAATTTTCTACTTATTCGGCTTATGTTTTATGTATATTTCTTTAAATCATTGGATCAAAGGCACATTTAAAATATTTCCTCAAATGAAATCAGGGCATGATGTAAACTGATGAGTGAATAGTTTTCTTGATAAAGAAAAGTAATGTCAAATTATTATTTCAGAATGTAGGGTAAAATATCAGTCACATATTCATTAACTTATTAAGAAGATTAGCATCTATCCTAAATTTATATGTGGGTATAGTAAATTTACTGAAACATTTTTAAATGAAAGGAATATTTTTAAATGTGATACAAAAAATGTCTATTATTTCCAAATGTAAAAGACATTTCTCAATATTCTGCAACAATATTTTAATACAGCCAGGTGTCCAAAACAATTTATAATAGACATATGCCTCCACTAAAAAATAAAAACAAAAAACCTCCTAAGAATGAAGGTTTGTGGAAGTGATGCTGGATTAGATGATACAAGTCCTGGGTTCTACACCAGGTTGTGACCTTGAGTTTGCTGTACCTTTATAACCTTTTGTTTCTTGTGCTGGGGATATTACACATAGTTGATAGAAGATGAAAATGAGATGAGGCATAGTAATAGGCCTATAGAACTGCAAAAAGCTGTCAAATGCAAAGCATTCTATATCATACAAAATTAGTGTACTTTACTGTGGTGTGTCTACAAACTTCTCTTACTGTTAACATCTTCCATTCCTTGAAAGAAAATAGGACATAATGAACTGATAAAATTAAAAAATTTTAATGCCAGTATCAAACTTTAAATTCAATAGAAAAGCTCACTAGCTGAAAGATTTTGCCTTTTTTTTGTCCTGTAAATATATCATCTCTAAATCAATTTGTTTTTGTGAATTTGTTTTTTAAAAATGAAGTTGCTTTACTGTACATACATAATCGTTTCATTATTATTCACCTAATTGATTCAAGACATTCTGTACTCAAATATCCCCTTCCTGAATGCTCAATTTGATCTGATTACTTTCAATTCAAACTCTTCCTGTCCTGGACACAGAAAGCAAGGGAAGTGCTGCCACCAACAGGAAAATGCAAGTCCCAGTATTTCCACTTACACTAAAATTCTCCATGTTCCCCACTTGGAACTCTTGTTAAATAAACTAAGGCATCGTATAGGCAGTAGCAAAGAAAAATGGAAAAGCTCCTTGGATGCATATAACTTAAATTTAAAACTAAATAAAATTACATCCTATATCAGTAAGAAAAAAAGGCATCTAGAATAATATACTCAAAGGCAAATTTTCTCGGGGCAAGGTGTTACGAACATCACTGGTAGCGACTGACCTTTATTAAATATCTAGTAAGGAGTCTCCATGAAAATATTATTCCTGTATGCAGCGCTGTTATGCCTAAAATACAAAGAACATTTTAAAGAAAATGGTAGCATGCATTCAGTACATAATTTGTTTAGTGTAATAGAGTTTCATGCCTGTACTGTTATATAAGAGCACAGATATATAAAATGCTGCACTATTGTTCTTCTATTGAAAAAATAAAGGTTTTGGCCAGGTGCGGTGGCTCATGCCTGTAATCCCAGCACTTTAGGAGGCCAAGGCGGGCGGATCACGAGGTCAGGAGATCGAGACCATCCTGGCTAACACACAGTGAAACCCCGTCTCTACTAAAAATACAAAAAATTAGCCCGGCGTGGTGGCGGGCACCTGTAGTCCCAGCTACTCGGGAGGCTGAGGCAGGAGAATGGCGTGAACCTGGGAGGCGGAGCTTGCAGTGAGCCGAGATCGTGCCACTGCACTCCAGCCTGGGCGACAGAGCGAGACTCTGTCTCCAAAAAAAAAAAGAAAGAAAGAAAGAAAAAATAAAGGTTTCATGTTTCAAGAGCATCACTCAAGATGACCAGGAAAATGCAATACTAACATTTTTTAAGTATATGATTTTTCTTAAATCTAAGAGGTTTTTATAATTACAAATTATAAGTATATATTATATAAATATTATAATTGTGTCTGAAGATTTGGACACAATTGATGGTTAGGTATATGTATACACATAGGCTTTCCCAATTCTTTTATTCAAAAGCTCTCCAGTCCTTGATCTAGAATCATCTCTGTAGGCATTAGAGGAAGCTAGAACTTGGGTTTTCTGGAGTCACAGCCTTGAGAAGAAAATTATGAGTCACCCTTAAACCCCTAGTTCATCCCATCTATTATTTTAACCACTCAATTTTTTTCATTTCAAATAGTTCTAAGTTTCAAAATACCAAATTCTTCACTCAGGTGCACCCACACATTTCCCACTGAGTTTTTGCAAGTCATACAAATAAAACTGAAGCTACATTTATACCAAATGAATATGGCGTTTGCTTATTTTATATCCAGTTAATATTTGTTTGATGTTAAATTCCTTATAATTTTTATGAGAATTATTAAAAGTCCCAGAAAATTAATTTCAGGGAGCATGTTTTTAATTCTTGACTTTCAACCTCCTATTAAGCACTTACTATATGCTAGTTCCTGTCTGAGGCACTGGGTGAACAAGATACAGTCTTCTTCACTCTAAAACTAAGAATTCATGAAGGAAAAATTTTAATCTCTAACCTATGGATGAATTTATTTGTAAGTATTTCATGAACAAGTCATACGATAAACACAAAAGAGTGTATTAGTAAGAACTGGTGAAATTTGACAACTCTGTTAATATCCCTAACATGTTGGATCTGGCTGTTAGGTACTCAAGTGTCATTACTCTATTTCAGTGTTGAGTAACATGAGTTTTTTTCTTCTATCAAGTTACAGTATTCAGACCACACTATTCTGAGTGCATGAGTCTCTAAAAATGAAGATGCCATGATTTAACAACACTTAAAAGGGCAAAGAGCACAGAAGAGCTCAAAATTCCTCTATCCTCACCTCTTCTTTCCTCACAAACTTTCAATTCACAGCACACAGCTGTAGGAAGGCTGTCACATTGGGGATGTGAATTGTAGTCCTTCAGGCACTTTGCTTCCTCAGCTGGCATTGTCACAATAGCTTCCCAACTAGAATCCATGCCTCCAGGCTCACCCACATGCCAATGCCTTCTCCGTGCATTCAACCATTCTCCTTCCTGTTAAAAACCCTTCAGCGTTGCCTTAGAACCATTAGAGTAAAATCCAAACTTCTTGGAACAGCATTTGAAGACCTTCATGATCTGGCCCTTCCTTAGCTCCAGCTGTACCAATTTCTTGCAGTTCCAAAAATCTACCATGCTCTTTGTTTTGCCTCCTGACCTTTGCACATTTTAGCCCTTCTGCTTAGATTTTTCTCTTCTCTTCTGTTCCCCTTTTCTGGCTTATATGTGCGCTTAAATGCTCTGCTTAACTGTCTTCTCCCCCAGACCTTTCCCTCATCTGCAAAGGGGTCAAGTGACTATTAAAGGGTAGGTTAGGTGCCTATCAAAAATTCTCCCATAGAAACATGTGCCCACTCTATCCTATCTTAGTGTATATAATGTTTTGTGTCCATATGTAATCATGTTTAATTATCTGTCCTTCCAATTATAAAAAGCAGGGAGTCAGTTTATTCACTTTGAATCTTTAATCCATGGCATGCGGTAGGTACTATGTTTACCGAACAATAAAAATACACTGAATAAGGTATACTGAATTAAGGAATAAATTTTCTCTCCTGAAAATGAGCCCTATAGGCTTGTCTGCTCACATCGGCACAAGCTTCTAATTACAAGCGGAATACTCATGAAGGATGGATAACTTGCCAGAGAAGATTATCTTGCTATTAATTACTCAAATAGGAATGTATATAAAAATACTGCTTAAAACATTTGCTTTTGGCTAAGCATTAAGAATTCTCTTGCTCTGGGCACACTAGTGGGCATTTGTAATCCCAGCTACTCAGAAGGTAGAGGCTTGAGCCCAGGAGTTGAAGACCAGCCTGGGCAACATAGCAAGACCCCTGTCTCAAAAAAAAGTAAGAAGAATCAACTGGCCTCTGATTTTTAATTTCCTGGTGAGCAGAGCAATACAATATATCAGAGGAGGGATGGAGAGCTGAATGCAGACTGGGGAGTCATGAGCCATGTCTGTTTGCCCCAAAGTACTGCTCATTTGAAGTTTGATTACCAAGCAGCAGTCAGTTGGTATAATCACATTTCAAGCCTTGTCAAATGCCCAGCTATTTTTCCACGATGACATTTCTGTCATCTCCCAACTGTAACACATCTCCACATGAGTATCCAGAAGTGGATTCATTACTCAATTTAAAAAAGGCGGGTCAACAGGTTGACTAAAGACTCACCCATGAATGTAGACTGAGTCATGACATATTCTCACAGCTGTCACTGATACCTGATTTTCTTCATCACCCAGGTATGTGTGCTTAGACTAGGCAGTCTTTCCCAGCACCTGCAGCCTAGGATTCCATTCTCATTTTGAATACTTCCATTTTTCTTCATTTATGTGCTGCCATTGCTTTTAATTATGACAACTTCTTGCACTTTAAAAGGAAACCAAGTTCAGCAAATGTCAAAAAATACTTGGCACTGATTAAAACAAAGATGACTGATAATAAATTCCCAGAAACCATTTCTGCTGCTGATAATGTGCTTCTTCTTCACCTGTGAGAAAAAAATCCTTTAGCTATCTAGGATTTTCATTCAAATGCTGAGAATAAAAAATAAAAAAAGATTTGAAGTGCTCAACATAACAGTACACAATATTTCATACTGGGGGTAAGGTTTACCACCAAAATAAGCAGTATAGATACCTTGATAACATCTTTTTCATTCCTATGCTTAGGCAAAATGTCTGTATAAAATAATTTTACCTTGTTGGATTAAATAGCATCTCCTGCAAAAGCAATGTATTGAGGTTTACTGCAAGATAAGTCTCACTCTTCCAGAATTTAACGTTTTTTCAACTGGCATTTCCCTTAGCTACAGGGTGATAACTGGCCTACAAAAAGTTAAAGCTTAAGGCACTGTAAGATTATATGACTTGTGAATCACCAAAGAGTAACTAAATAATGGCTAATCCTGATCTATGATTTGGATGTGTTGTGTGGTATTTAACAGCTGCAAAGATTTGAGTGTGTTGTGTAGTACTTAACAGCTGCAAAGTAGTAAAAAGGTATCGAACTGTAGTTCTCAGTCCTATCTTTGCAACTCTAGGTCTGTGAATTGGGACAAGTCAATTCATCATCCCTGCCTTCCTTCCTTCATGCATTCACCAAGAGAGGCAATGAAGATACAAACATGATTTAGCCAAAGTCTCACAAGAAATCTCTGATTGTCAGTTTCCTTATTGGTAAAATGGGGCTTTCTTAATGAGGATTAAAGAAAACAAAGTATGTCAAAGTACTTCATAAATGACTAAGAGCCATATAGATGTTAAATGTTATTATAACATTTTTATGCCCATTTTTTACCCCATTTTCACCCCATTTTCTCACCCTTTTGCTTTCTCTCTCCCTCTCTCTCAATATTTTTATTCCTGAACAGTTTAAAGATTAGTTACATCATCATGGCCCATCATTCCTAAATAATTCAGTGTGTTTCCTAACAATAGGAGTATTTGCTTACTATATTTATAACTATAGTACAATTTTCAACTTTAGTAAATTTGGCATTGATACAGTACTTTTATCTAATTTGCCATCCATATTCCAATCTTGTCAATTGAGATAGTAATGTCCTTTATAGCATTTTTTTTCTCCTCCAGTACAGATCTCAGCCTAGATCAAGTATTTATTTGTTATGTATTTTATAGTCTCCTTTTATCTAGAACACTTCCACAGCCTTTCTTCGTCTTTTATGATGCTGACATTTTTAAAGACTACAGACCTCCTCTTTTTTAAAAGAGAAAATTCCTAATAATTCTCTATTTCATTTTTTAATAATTATTTTGTATTCATCCATTTAAGCTTCTCTTCCTACCACTGGGAATCCAAAAGCCATCTCTGCATGAAAAAAAAAAAAACAGTACACACAGTGGTTGCCACCATGTCTGACTCGCCACCATGATAATGTAATGTTGATTTCTGTCCCCCTCCTCTTCTGCCCTCTTTCTCCCCCTTGTTCTTCTATTGTTCTGTTGATCCTTAGACTGCAACATCCTTTCCTATTATCTGAACTAAATGGATCATGGACAGAAGGTCGTGTCTGCTCCCATCATTCACATAACAAGGAGAAAGGGATGAGGAAGAGCTCATGGCTCTGACAATTCTACAAGAGAACACAATTACTTTTTGCTAATGGTTCTAAATCACCCTTGATTATGGTATTCCCCCACCTTCCTAATCCTTTTTAATTTCCTCCTACTAAACAAAAGATTTCCATCACAGTTGCCCTTCAGAGTTTCAGCACACTTCCTTGAACCTTATTTCATTTGACCCTTAGAACAACCAAATGTATTAGGTAGGATTTATTATCACCATTTTACACATAAGGAAACAGAGGCTCAAACCCATCAAGTGATTTTCCACAAGCTCAGGCGCTTAGATGTAGTAGATTCAGGCTGAATGAAATCCAAGGCTTCTTATTGCTTGTCCAATGCATGCTCACTACATCTTCATGCCTCTTTTATACCTGCAGATCTTATGTGTGGTGGCATTCACCCTGGCATGGTGGGTCAAGATGCAATGCACTGAGGTCAATCTGTGCCTTTCCTTTTATGGAAAATAGTGTAGGTATTTTTAAATAGTACATTTCGGATATATGGTTCTGAAGCTATTATTTAAACATATTTGAAATTTGGCAAAAATATAGAAATACATTTGTTGTAATATGCATTTAGAAAATGTGAAAGAAATATATAGCTCTGAGAAATGTTCCACAAGTGTCCATTAAAATTAGTTTCAGGTGTCAAGAATAACAGCTTTTAAGTAAAGAGTTCATTTTGTAAGTATAATAACTTGCAAATATGCACAGTCATGAAAAACAAACAGGAGACAAGGAAAGAATTTAAAAGATCCTGCCCGGCCTCCTTATTAACAGCAGAACAAATGCTCTTAGGAATACACAAATTTTTTTAGAGGGGGGCATTAACTACCTCATTTTACAAAAGTGGAAACTAAGAGAGAGTCTTAAGTGTCTTATATGTGGCCACACTAGTGATTTGAAACAGCCCTGGAGCTGGGTGCACCTGTAATCCCAGCTACTCGGGAGGCTGAGGTGGGAGGGAGGCTGAGGCGAGAGGATTGCTTGAGCCCAGGAGACCAGCCTAGGCAACACAGCAAGACCTCTATCAAAAGCAAAGCAAAGCAAAGAAAAGAAAAAAAAAAAGCAAAGAAAAAAGAAAAGGAGGCCGGGCGCCGTGGCTCACGCCTGTAATCCCAGCACTTTTGGAGGCCGAGGCGGGCAGATCATGAGATCAGGAGATCAAGACCATCCTGGCTAACACACGGTGAAACTCCGTCTCTACTAAAAAATACAAAAAAATTAGCTGGGCGTGCTGGCGGGCGCCTGTAGTCCCAGCTACTCGGGAGGCTGAGGCAGGGGAATGGTGTGAACCTGGGAGGCGGAGCTTGCAGTGAGCTGAGATCGCACCACTGCACTCCAGCCTGGGCGACACAGGGAGACTTCGTCTCAAAAAAAAAAAAAAAAAAAAAAAAAAAAAGAGGGAGAGAAAAGAAAAGAAAAGAAGGAAAGAAGGAGGGAGGGAAGAAAGGAAGGGAGGGAGGGAGGGAGGTAGGGAGAGAGAGAAAGAGAAGAAAGAAAGAAAGAGAGAGAGAGAAAGAAAGAAAGAGAGAAAGAAAGAGAAAGAATAGAAAAGAAAAGAAAAGAAAGAAAAAGAAAGAGAAAGAAAGAAACATCCATCCCTGAGAGTAGACTTTGTATCTCACGGCTGCTAGTCCAATGCACTTGCCTACATTTTATGAATGTTTTATGGGATATAAATTAAATTCTTTTTAATCCTCCCATATAAGATAAAACTATATACTTCCCTAAGTTATATAGAGCCAAGATAGACTTTTAGAAATATTTAATAAGTGGCCAGTTACGGTGGCTCATGCCTGTAATCCCAGCACTTTGGGAGGCCAAGGCAGGTGGATCACTTGAGGTCAGGAGTTTGAGACCAGCCTGACCAACATGGTGAAACCCCGTCTCTACTAAAAATACAAAAAAAAAAAAAAAAATTAGCCAGGTGTGGTGGCATGCACCTGTAATTCCAGCAACTTGGGAGGCCGAGGCAAGAGAATCACTTGAACCTGGGAGGCAGAGGCTGCAGTGAGCCAAGATCATGCTGTTGCACTCCAGCTTGGGCAACAAGAGCAAAACTCTGTCTCAGGGGAAAAAAAAAGAGAAAGAAATATTTAATATTGAAATAAACAAATACCTTTTTATTTTTTAAAAAAGAAAATTCATCATATGGGGTCTCCACTGAGGAAAATGTAGGTGAGATACTTTTAGCTTCAGGTAAGTAAAAGAGAGTAAAGTGTGCTAGAACTGCCTTTGCTTCTTCAAGGATTTTCTCAAAGTGGGCAGTCAGCTGGGGCTTAAAGTGTTTGTGACAATCAGATCCTTTTCAAGTTAATTTTTGTTTATGGTTCAAGGTAACAGTTGGGTTTATTTTCTGTAGATGGATGTTCAATTGCACCAGCACCATTTGTTTGATGTTCTGAACAGCAAGATGTAAGATTAACTGCAGAAAGTGTCAAACAATAAAACAGCACATAGCCAACATATATATCATAGAAGCAAGCATTCTTCCCCTTTAAGTAGACTTCCCTAGGAAATATAATTAATCTTTTAAAAACTGACCCAGATAAAATGGAGAACTTGTTTTCTCTCAAAATATAGTGAAAGGAAAGGTAAGTGCCCATGTTATTGTACATCATAAATGTTTTCATTAAGAATTTTCTTAAATCACAAATAGGAGTTAAAGAGAATAAAATTTCAAGAAGCACATGTGAAGCAATTGTTAGAATTCATCAAACATACAAGGTATAAGATTAAAGAGTATAAAATCTACAACTCACTTACTTAAGTGAGTGGGCCATAAATGCTCCAGTTCCAAAATGATTTGCCAGTTCACAGTGAGTTTAATTGTTCAAAAGCTGTCCACTTGGTGGCACCATGGTGCTGCCGCAGGAATGAGCCTGTTGATTTGGGTATGGGTTCAGTTAGGGACTGACTTCTTACATAGGGTTTTAGGACTCTTAAACATGCGGTCATACCGCAGTACCTGCCAACAACAAACAATTGCCTTAGTCATTTGCACAAGGGAAGAAAAAGAAAAAGACATTTTACATTGTTCAAGCAAAGGCAAAATGGACAGGGTTTAAGTGGACTTGTAGGGCAGGCTGCACAAGTAGATGGATGAAAGACAGTGCAGCATGTCTTTTTATCCACATTCTTAGGCAAAAATGCCTCTGCAGGGTTTTTTTTTCTTTTCTCTCTCTTATGAGTTGATTCTAAGCAGAAAAATTGACACTAAGCAACTTCAGCCCAGTGAAAGTTCAAGCTGAGCTGCATTTGCCCCTTAATATATATTGAGTGCCTGCTATGCCATCATTATTGGGCACTTTAAGTTACATTATAGAAGGCAAAACATAGTTCTTATCCTTGATGTCTTGCAGTCCACCCAGGAAGGTAAGATGTATGCATGAAGCAGTAATTGCTCAATTGTGTGCTGAAGACAGTGCTAACTGGAAGGCATAATTAGGAATGACTTCACTACAGTCTTTCAGTAGGTGGGACTCTGGCTGGTCTTAGAGAATGGCTTCATTGTGGAAGGCAGCAGATTTCTGCACAGCTGAGTAGAAACAGTGCAGGAGGGACCAGGGCTTCCATCACAGTCACTCTAGTGACATGGTTGGGGAAGGAGGAAGTCAGAGTCTCCTGCTCTGTAGCAGCCTACTGGAGAAGCAGCAGCCATCCCAGCTGGGTTTCCCAGCCCCTCCATCCAGCTGATTCACCACTCAATAAATCTGTTGACTCATAGATTGATTTTTAAATTATGTTGACTTTTTTCTTCCAGATATTAGAGTGAACACAATCGATTGATTTGTTTAATTTATAATTTATATAGTTGAGTTCAACATTTAGACACTAAATGTGTGGGATGTGTATAAATGAATTTGGAAAGTGAGGAACCTGGAGAATACATTCTACACCTCTTAGAAGAATGTTGATGGCATTTAATAGCTTGTCCCTCAATCCATATTGAAGTGTGTAGAGGCAAAATGATTTTAAGTGTAGGATATGCCTTTTAAAATATTTCAACAAAGAAAAAAGTACATAGTGCAGTGTGCCACAGTTTTAATAATTGTTGATTCTGGCTGATGAGTATGTGAGGATTATTGTACTATTCTGTTTTTATGTGCATTTGAAATGTTTTATAGTACTTGGGGGTTGCTGGCAAGATGGTCAAACAGGAAGAGCTCAGGTCTGCAGCTCCCAGCGAGATCGACGCAGAAGGCAGGTGATTTCTGCATTTCCAACTGAGTTACCTGGTTCATCTGATTGAAACTGGCTGGACAGTGGTGCAGCCCAAGGAGGGCGAGCGAAAGCAGGGTGGGGAAGTGCAAGGGGTCCGGGAACTCCCTGTCCCAGCCAAGGGAAGCCATTAGGGACTATACCGTGCACTCTCACACAGATACTGCACTTTCCCTACAGTCTTGGCAACTCCAGACCAGGAGATTACTTCTGGTGCCTACACCACCAGGGCCCTGGGTTTCCAGCACAAAACTGGGAAGCCATTTGGGCAGACACTGAGCTAGCCACAGGAATCTTTCTTCATACCCCAGTGGAACCTGGAACACCAACAAGACAGAACCATTCACTCCCCTGCAAAGGGGGGCTGAAGCCAGGGAGCCAAGAAGTCTGGCTTGGCAGGTCCCACCCCCATGGAGTCCAGCAAGCTACGATCCACTGGCTTGAAATTCTGCCTGCCAGCACAGCAGAGCTGTGCTCAACAGTATGAGCTCAACCTAGGATGCTTGAGCTTGGTAGGGGGAGGGGAATCCACCATTGCTGAGGCTTGAGTAGACAGTTTCACCCTCACAGTGTAAAGAAAGCCACCAGGAAGTTTGAACTCGGCAAAGCCCACCCAAGCTCAGCAAGTCAGCTGTGGCCAGACTGTCTCCTCTCTGGGCAGGGCATCTCTGAAAACAAAAAGGCAGCAGCCCCAGTCAGGGACTGGGGGAAGGGGCGGTTGTGGGTGCAGCTTCAGCAAACTTAAACATCCCTACCTGGTAGCTCTGAAGAGAACAATGGATCTACCAGCACAGTGTTTGAGCTCTGATAAGGGACAGACTGCCTCCTCAATTGGATCCCTGACCCCCATGTGTCCTGACTAGAAGACACCTCCCAGTAGGGGCGGACAGACACCTCATACAGAAGAGCCCTGGCTGGCATGTGGCGGGTGCCCCTCAGGGAGGAAGCTTCCAGAGGAAGGAACAGGCAGCAATCTTTGCTGGTCTACAGCCTCTGCCGGAGACAGCAAACTCCAGCAGACCTGCAGCAGAAGGGCCTGACTGTTAGGAGGAAAACTAACTAACAGAAAGGAATAGTATCAACATCAACAAAAAGGACGTCCACTCAGAGACCCCATCCAAAGGTCACCAACTTCAAAGACCAAAGGTAGATAAATCCACAAAGATGGGGAGAAACCAGGGCAAAAACGCTGAAAATTCCAAAACTTAGTATGCCTCTTCTCCTCCAAAGGATCACAACTCCTCACCAGCAAGGGAACAAAACTGGACAGAGAATGAGTTTGACGAATTGACAGAAGTAGGCTTCAGAAAGTGGGTAATAACAAACTCCTCCGAGCTAAAGGAGCATGTTCTAACCCAAAGCAAGGAAGCTAAGAACCTTGAAAAAAGGTTAGACGAATCACTAGTATAGAAAAGAACATAAATGACCTGATGGAGCTGAAAAATGCAGCGTGAGAACTTCATGAAGCATACACAAGTATCAATAACCAAACTGATCAAGCGGAAGAAAAGATATCAGGGATTGAAGATCAACACAATGAAATAAAGTGAGAAAACCAGATTAGAGAAGAAAGAGTGAAAAGAAACGAACAAAGCCTCCAAGAAGTATGGGACTATGTGAAAAGACCAACTCTATGTTTGATTGGTGTACCTGAAAGTGACAGGGAGAATTGAACCAAGTTGGAAAACACTCTTCAGGATATTATCCAGGAGAACTTCCCCAACCTAGCAAGGCAGGCCAACATTCAAATTCAGGAAATACAGAGAACACCACAAAGATACTCCTTGAGAAGAACAACCCCAAGACACATAATCATCAGATTCACCAAGGTTGAAATGAAGGAAAAAATGTTAAGGGCAGTCAGAGAGAAAGGTCAGGTTACCCACAAAGGGAAGCCCATCAGACTAACAGTGGATCTCTGGGCAGAAAACCTACGAGCCAGAAGAGAGTGGGGGCCAATATTCAACATTCTTAAAGAAAAGAATTTTCAACCCAGAATTTCATATCCAGCCAAACTAAGCTTCATAAGTGAAGGAGAAATAAAATCTTTTACAGACAAGCAAATGCTGAGAGATTTTGTCACCACCAGGACTTCCCTACAAGAGCTCCTGAAGGAAGCACTGAACATGAAAAGGAATAACTGGTACCAGCCACTGCAAAAACATACCAAATTGTAAAGACCATTGAAGCTATGAAGAAACTACATCAACTAATGTACAAAATAATCAGCTAGCATCATAATGACAGGATCAAATTCACACATAACAATATTAACCTTAAATGTAAATGGGATAAATGCACCAATTAAAAGACACAGAGTAGCAAACTGGATAAAGAGTCAAGACCCATCGGTGTGCTGTATTCAGGAGACCCATCTCATGTGCAGAGACACAAATAGGCTCAAAATAAAGGGATGGAGGAATATTTACCCAGCAAATGGAAAGAAAAAAAAAAAGCAGCTGTTGCAATCCTAGTCTCTGATAAAACAGACTTTAAACCAACAGAGATAAAAAGAGACAAAGAAGGGCATTACATAATGGTAAAGGGATCAATGCAACAAGAAGAGCTAACTATCCTAAATATATATGCACCCAATACGGGAGCACCCAGATTCATAAAGCAAGTTATTTGAGGCCTACAAAGAGACTTAGACTCCCACACAACAATAGTGGGAGACTTTAATACCCCACTGTCAATATTTGACAGTTCAACGAGACAGAAAATTAACAAGGATATCCAGGCACCTGAACTCAGCTCTGGACCAAGCAAATCTAATAGACATCTACAGAGCTATCCACCCCAAATCAACAGAATATACATTCTTCTCAGCACCACATTGCACTTATTCTAAAATTGACCACATAATTGGAAATAAAACACTCCTCAGCAAATGCAAAAGAATGGAAATCATAACAGTCTCTCAGACCACAGTGCAATCAAATTAGAACTCAGAATTAAGAAACTCATTCAAAACCACACAACTACATAGAAAGTGAACAACCTGCTCCTGAATGACTACTGGGTACATAACAGAATGAAGGCAGAAATAAAGATGTTCTTTGAAACAAATGAGAAGAAAGACACAATGTACCAGAATCTCTGGGACACATTTAAAGTGGTGTGCAGAGGGAAATGTATAGCACTAAATGCCTACAAAGGAAAGTAGGAAAGATCTAAAATCAACACCCTAACATCACAATTAAAATAACTAAAGAAGCAAGAGCAAACAAATTCAAAAGCTAGCAGAAGGCAAGAAATAACTAAGATCAGAGCAGAACGGAAGAAGATAGAGACACGAAAAACCCTTCAAAAAATCAATGAATCTAGGAGCTGGATTTTTGAAAAGATCAACAAGATAGATAGACTGCTAGCCAGACTAATAAAGAAGAAAAGAGAGAAGAATCAAATAGACACAATAAGAAATGATAAAGGGGATATCACCACCAATCTCACAGAAATACAAACTACCATCAGAGAATACTATAAACACCTCTACACAAATAAACTAGAAAATCTACAACAAATGGATAAATTCCTGGACACAGACACCCTCCGAAGACTAACCAGGAAGAAGTTGAATCCCTGAATAGACCAACAAGTTCTGAAATTGAGGCAGCAATTAATACCCTACCAATCAAGAAAAGTCCAAGACCAGACAGATTCACAGCCAAATTCTATAAGAGGTACAAAGAGGAGCTGGTACCATTCCTCCTGAAACTATTCCAAACAATAGAAAAAGAGGGGATCCTCCCTGACTCATTTTATGAGGCTAGCATCACCCTGACACCAAAACCTGGCAGAGACACAACAAAAAAAGAAAATTTCAGGCAAATATCCCTAATGAACATCAATGCAACAATCCTCAATAAAATACTGGCAAACTGAATCCAGCAGCACATCAAAGAGCTTATCCAGCATGATCAAGTCAGCTTGCATCTCTGGGATGCAAGGCTGGTTCAACATACACAAATCAATAAACATAATCCATCACATAAACAGAATCAATGACAAAAACCACATGATTATCTCAATAGATGCAGAAAAGGCCTTCAGTAAAATTCAACAGCCCTTCATGCTAAAAAACTCTCAATAAACTAGGCATTGATGGAACGTATCTCAAAATAATAAGAGCTATTTATGACAAACCCAAAGCCAATATTATACTAAATGGCCAAAAACTGGAAGCATTCCCTTTGAAAACCGGCACAAGACGAGGATGCCCTCTCTCACTGCTCCTATTCAACATAGTATTGGAATTTCTGGCCAGGGCAATCAAGCAAGAGAAAGAAATAAAGGGTATTCAATTAGGAAAAGAGGAAGTCAAATTGTCCCTGTTTGCAGATGACATGATTGTATATTTAGAAAACCCCATTGTCTCAGCCCAAAATCTCCTTAAGCTGATAAGTAAATTCAGCAAAGTTTCAGGATACAAAATCAATGTGAAAAACCACAAGCATTCCTATACACCAATAACAGAGATCCAAATCATGACTGAACTCCCATTCACAACTGCTACAAAGAGAATAAAATACCTAGGAATCCAATTTACAAGGGATGTGAAGGACCTCTTCAAGGAGAACTACAAACCACTGCTCAAGGAAATAAGAGAGGACACAAACAAATGGAAAAACATTCCATGCTTATGGATAGGAAGAATCAATATCCTCAAAATGGCCATACTGCCCAAAGTGATTCATAGATTCAATGCTATCCCGATCAAGCTACCATTGACTTTCTTCAAAGAATTGGAAAAAACTACTTTAAATTTCATATGGAACCAAAAAAGAGCCTGCATAGCCAAGACAATCCTAAGCAAAAAGAACAAAGCTGGAGGCATCACGCTACCTGACTTCAAACTATACCACAAGGCTACAGTAACAAAAACAGCATGGTACTGGTACCAAAACAGATATATAGACCAATGGAACAGAACAGAGGCCTCAGAAATAACGCCACACATCTACAACCATCTGATCTTTGACAAACCTGAGAAAAACAAGCAATAGGTGTGAGTTCATGTCCTTTGCAGGGACATAGATGACACTGGAAACCATCATTCTCAGCGAACTAATACAAGAATAGAAAACCAAACACCACATGTTCTCACTCATAAGTGGGAGTTGAACAATGAAAACACATGGACACAGGGAGGGGGACATCACACACCAGGGCCTGTTGGGGGCTGGGGGTCTACGGGAGGGATAGCATTAGGAGAAATACCTAATGTAGATGATAGGTTGATGGGTACAGCAAACCACCATGGCACATGTGTACCTATGTAACAAACCTGCATGTTCTGCACATGTACCCCAGAATTTAAAGTATTAAAAAAAGTTTTATAGTACTTTTTTCTCAAAAGTTAATGGGTTAAAAAAAAATTCTGGAAACTGGGCAAGACTGAGCCTGAAACTAAGGGAGGTGGGTTCAGGTGAGGGTGTGGATGATGAGGAAATGAAGCAGAAGTTAGTACTAAGACCCTCAGCTGGAAAAAGTATTACAGTCATGCCTCATCGTTCAAGGAGGATTGGGTCCAGGACAATCCAAAGTCCTCACATACTCAAGTCTCACAGTCGGCCCTTGGTATAAGTGCATGTCATAGCCTACAAGACTGTATTTCCATCCATGTTTAGCTGAAAAAAAAATCTGCATATAATTGGACCCATGCATTTCAAACCCTATTGTTCAAGGGTCAATTGTATTGGCCAATGAATCTACCCAAAAGAAGGTGGAAAAAAAATGTCCTGATGGGGAGATTTACCAGTTAAAAAAGAATCTTCAGGAAATAGACTGTTTCTTTCTGTTCCAACCCACTTGTCCACACTCCAGTGTGAATTATCAGGGACTGTGCATTTAGAAGATAACAGCACCTATCAAACAAGGAATGTGCACACAACCATCAAAGTACTTTCATACAAATTCTCTCAAACATATAAGGAAAGCCATTCTCATCTATGTCTGTCCTCTAGAATTCCTCTGGCATTCTCTAATCTCATCTGCAGGCTAAAGAGAAATAGGCTAGGAAATCAAGAAACATTGAAAAAAAGGAGGAAATGTTTAAAAAGAAACACTAAAAAATGAGATATTGCTTGTAGACTGAGCACAAAACCAAAAGTAAGAAACTCTTTCTTAGAATTCTGATTCTTCCACTTCTGAGTTGTGGGGTTGAGGACAAGTCACTTAAATTTCCTGAATGGATAGAGTAATTGATTTTTGAAGTGTTTACTTTTGACCATAATTTGCACTGCAGATACTCTCTCTCCCAACTTTTCTGGTATGCACACCCACAAGGCCTCAAGTCCACAGCAAATGAGAATAAAAACACAAGATTACAACGTACAGGTTCAATAGAGATCCAACCTGGTGGTAGAAGAAAGCAATCTGGGAATGATCTGAAAAGCAAAAGACCTGATTGGTCTGCCCCAGGTGAAAGCTAAGCTATGAGCACATGCCAGAAGATTGGAGAGAGAAGAGGAAATGTGGGAAACAGCCTTACAAAGATGAATTGCATAAGAAAAAGCACTTCTCACTCCCCATGTTTCCTTCCTTGTTTTTCTAAAATAACACTCCTGGTCTCCCTTTGCTCTCTCCTTTAACTCCTCCACCAAAGAAGTGTAGAAACGTATCTGCTTGGTGAGTTTGAAATAAAACAGGACAAACATAACCTAGCCCCTTCCTCCTCCTTTCTCTCATGGCATTTATTGAGTGCTTAAAGGCCAATGGTAGCTCTTTATTGTGGACTGATGCCTTTTATCCTCTTTCTTTCTTTTTGACGTGATGCTCCTTTACACAATTTATCCTGCTTCCCTGGTTTCTTGTCTCTTTCCTGACACTGCTACTGCCCCTCCCCATCCGCTAAGCTAGTTCTTTTGACTCAATTATATTGGAGCCAGGGGAAGAAGAGGAAATGGGCCAGGATAAAACTAGGCCCATAGTTATGAAGTTGAATGGTGTCCATTCAACTTCATAAAGTTATTTAATTATTACTTTCCTTAGATCATACTTGTTCACTGTAATGTAATAGTCTCACAATTATAGTCTTTGTTTTTTTTCCTGTTGTATCTCCAACATCAATAACTGCTTGGCACATCAGTTTCTCACCAAATATTTATGATGGATGAGTGAATAAATAAATGAGGAAGTATATGATGAAAATAAGAGATAAAAAGTTTAGTTGGAAATATGAAAATCAATTAAAGACAATTAACTAAATACAATTAAAGAGTGGGCCAAGATGTTCCAGCCCAGTGCAAATTAAAATAAAGCACAATTTATTTTATGCCATAAATTGCATAAAAGAGTATTCAAGTCAAAAAGAAAGAAACAGGATAAAAGGCATCAGTCCACAATAAAGAGCTACCATTGGCCTTTAAGCACTCAATAAAATGGTGTTAAAATATAGGAAGTAAGAATTATTTAAAATAAAAGCAGAAACAAAAATATGTTTATTCCACAAGACTTTATTAGACCACTTTTAGCTTTTGACAGGTCAAGTATGCAAAAAATAAACAATGACATAAATAATTTTTAATATAGGAGAGCAAAGGACCCCCTACAAAAAATATATAGTTTCTGTATCTTTGTTACATATATGAAAATTGATATTGTACTAGATTCATTAGGTTGGCCTATCTAACAATCATTATAAACTTTATGCTCTAAGCTAGAGATTAGAAAACTGAAAACAAGCCCAGCTAGGCTGTCTTGTGGCTGGCAGTGCCCATATGGTTCAGTTCTTGCCAAAGAGACAGAAACACAAATCTACATGTGCCTCCTCTCCCTGTTCCTCTTCCTTCCTGCTTGGACCATACACAGGATGCCCAAGATGCAGCAGCACCATCTCCATAAGTTGGCAGAGCAGGAAAACAGAAAGAGCCTGCTTCCTTCAAGGCGGTCCTGGGCTTTCTCCTGTGGACTTGTCGTAGGGCACAAATCAGCCCCTTAGTCATTCAAGCCCCTCAGCTGGGTTTTCAGGCACTTGCACTGAGAACAACGCAAACTGACACAGCCCCGCCACAAAGAAAACACTAATAAATACACCAACGCAAAATCTGCACAGGCCACATCCTCCAACCACAATTCAACGAAGCTAGAAATAAATCATAAGAGTTTTAAAATCCATTTAGAAAATGTAAAGCATTCTTTTCAATAAATATTGGCAAAGGAGAAGCAAAAAATGCAAATTCATACTATTTAGACAAAAATAAAATTATAGCATTAATTATGTTACAAATTCTACTCTCCAGAATTCCTTATCTCCCATTTCTGCTGTTGTTATTTTCCTAGAATTTATCACTTTCTCATATACTACATAATATATTACATCTTTAACTTAATTTTCACCATCTCCTACTAGAATATAAGCTCCATGAAGCTAGGGACTTTTGTCTGTTTTGTTCACTGTTCTATCCCCAGCACCTGAAATATTGCCTGGCCCCCAGCCAACATTCAGTAAGACTGTTGAATAAACTAATAATTGCCCTAAAAGGCAAATATATAATTTTAACTTTTATTATTAACATTTTTAAAAGAAAATATTATAATCCAACTCAAGTTGAAAGATGTAAACAGCAATCAGGCAAACAAACAAATGAATAAAATTCCTAAATAATACAGACAGAAAAATAATAAAGATAAAAACGGAAATTAATGAATTTTTTAAAGTACCTTTTATAAATATATGAAGAAAATTTTGATGAAAAAATACAACAGACAAACTTCCGGTAAATCTGACCAATGAAAGTAGAAAATCACAAACAAAAATAGAGACAAAAAGGAAACTATTATAAAAGCTAGAAAGGAGAATAATAAGTGATAGTAGATGACTATTCCTAATTCCGTGCCCACATATTTTAGTATTAAAAAATAGACAATTTTCTCTGAAAACTTAAAAGAATAAAATGGACTTATAAAGCTCAACAAAATCTGAATAGGTTAATAATCATCAACAACCAAGAAATGCAAGTTATCAAATAATTATCTTAAAAATAAAAGGCTTTTGAAAGGATTTATTAGTTAGTTCTTACATATTTTCAAAGAAACATAAATCTTCATGCTATAGAAAATTATTAAAGAAAATAGCAAAACATGAATTTGATGTTGATTTTTTAAAGTGCCTTTTTGTTATCCATTATTGTTATTTTTCCTTGAACCTATTGATTTGATTTATAGTGTCAATAAAAGTCCTAATAATAAATCACTGTTGTGTTGTTATGGTGGAGAAATCTTTTGCTATACTTTTGAATTCAGTTTGCTGGTCAACAACACAATAGAATATTAAGCAGCCAATTAAAGGAAAGGTTCTGAAGAGATTTTTATGACATGAGAAAATGCTTATGTTGTTTTCTTTATTCAAACTTATTTCCTCTAATGGGCTGAAAGTTACATATCTTTATTCTTCCAGCATAGCATTTCTCAACCTTAAATTCTACCTTGTCTGAAATTAACATTGTCACCTTGACTTTTGGAGTTTGTTACAGCTCATTGAGAATTGGTGGTCTCCAGAGATCTAACAAATGGTCTGCTAGGAGTTTGACAATTTTAGGGGAAAAGGGGTTGAAACCATTTTGTTCACATACATTTCCCCAATTTGAAATGTTAGGTTAATAATGAATCCTCTCAAAATTCATATGTTGAAATTTAATTGCCAGGGTGATAGTATTAAGAGGTGGGGCCTCTTAGGAAGTGATGAAGTTGCAAGGGCAGAGCCCTCATAAAAGGGATTAGTGGCCTTATGAAAGCAGTGCAAGGGCCGTTTGCCTCTTCCACCATGCGAAGACACATTGTGTGAAGGTGCCATCTATGAGGAATAGGCCCTCAACCGACACCAAATCTGCGGGTGTCTTGATCTTGGACATCCCAGTCTCTAGAACTGTGTGCAATAAATTTCTATTGTTTTTGAATTACCCATTCTAAGGTATTTTGTTATAGCAGCCGAGACTAAGATACTTTCACAGAAATCCCATCACATTCTAACAACCATGAGTTTTTCAAAGTTTGTGCAAGTAGTGAAAGGACATAAGTGAATGAATTCATTTCGGTTAACACTAAGTTAATAGCACAAAGTTCTCAGTTATTTGCATATTTGCACATTTTTATTAATTAAAGCAGCAGTCCCCAACCTCTTTGCTACCAGGGACGGTTTCATGGAAGACCATTTTTCAATGGACCGGGGAGGGAGGATTAGATTCTCATGCAGAGTATACAACCTAGATCCTTCCAATGTGCAGTTGTGCAATTCACAATAGAGTCCAAGCTCCTATGAGAATCTAATGCCTCCGCTCATCTTTTTTTTTTTTTTTTTTTTGATACCGAGTCTTGCTCTGTCACCCAGGCTGAAGTGCAGTGGCGCCATCTCAGCTCACTGCAACCTCTGCCTCCTGGGTTCAAGCAATTCTCCTACCTCAGCCTCTGGAGTAGCTGGGATTACAGGGGCACGCCACCACTCCCGGCTAATTTTTGTATTTTTAGTAGAGACGGGGTTTCGCTATGTTGGCCAGGCTGGTCTCCTACTCCTGACCTCAGACGATCCGCCAGCCTCGGCCTCCCAAAATGCTGGGATTACCAGCGCGAGCCACCGCGCCGGTCAGCCTCCGCTGATCTGACAGGAGGTGGAGCTCAGGTGGTAATGCTCGCTTGCCAGCCACACACCTCCTGCTGTGCGGCCCCATTCCTAACAGGCCACAGACTGGTCCCTGGTCCCTGAGTTAGGAACCTCTGAATTAAAGGACTGCATCCAAAGGAGCTAGACAATTTGTACCTTTTTTCTCCCGCATACTAGACAGCCCATTTGCCTCCAGAATAAAGTGGTGACAACTTCTGTGTTATTCGTGTTTTCTACCTATGGAGATTTGCGGATGTCCACATTATTTGCACATTATTCACATATTTGCACTATGTATATTTCATTGTTTACATTTTCCATATTTTCATTTTGCTATTCATATTATAGCTCAAGTTCAACAAAATGGATCAGTGGGTCAAGAGTGTTCCATTAAAGAGTAAGAGTGGTAAATGATAAACTGATTCTTAGATCTATATGGAAATGCAAAGGATCTAGGATACTCAAAACTATCTTGAGTAAAGGATGGAATTGATTTTATGAATTTTAAAGACCATTGTTTATTATTTTGAATGGCTTGTGTGATATATGTAGTATCTTGAATATCCTGAACCTATTAATTTAGGACTTAATATGAAAAATAAGATATTAGAATTTTTAATAAGATGAAGCCAATAGCACAATGGTAGAACACTTGACCCTTTCCCACTTGATCATTGTCTTAGTCTACTCAGGCTGCCATAATGGAATACCACAGACTGGATGACTTAAATAACAGAAACTTATGTTCTCACAGTTTTGGGGGATCAAAGTCTGAGATCAGGGTGCTAACATGGTCAGGCTCTGGTAAGGGTCTCTTTCTGGCTTGCAGATGGCCACCTTCTCCTTGTATTCTCCCATGGTGGAGAGAGAGAAAACAAGCTCCCTGGAGTCTCTTCTTATAAGTGCACTAATTCCATTGTGAGGGCCCTGCCGTCATGACCTCATCTAAATCTAATTACTTCCTAATGTCCCATTTCCAAATCCCATCATCACATTGGGGGCTGCAGCTTCAAAATGTGAATGGGAATGGTGGAAACAATGTAGTATATGGCAACTGTCTTGGTCTATTTGGGCTGCTATAACTAAAAAACACCATAAACTGTATAAGTTACAAACAACAGAATTTGATTTCTCATAGTTCTGGAGGCTTGGAAGCCACTATTAAGGTGCTAACAGATGTCTCTAGTGACAGCCCATTTCCTGGTTCATAGATGGTGCCTTGTCATGGTGGGACCATGAGAAAGAACAAAGAAGAACAGGGAACTCTCACTTTCAGTGGACCAGCCACCAGTGTACTCTGCCATTTTGGAGGCTGGACCTCTCTTAAATCACAGGAGTTGGAGAGAGTTGTAACATTTGGATGAAATTTTAAAAATAGATCTAGTAGTTCTGTTTTTTTGGACAAGTGAAGAAAATTATTCCTGCTATGGTCTGAATGTTGTGTACCTCCAGAATTCATATGGTTGAAGGGCAAGGCAGTTCCTTCACATGGTGGAAGGGGCAAGGCACGTGATGTCTTCACATGGTGGAAGGGGTGAGGCACATGATATCTTCACATGGTGGAAGGGGTGAGGCAGCTCTCTGGGGTTTTTAATAAGGGCACTCATCCCATTTATGAGGCCTCTACCCTCATGATGTAATCACCTCCCTTACCTCCTAATACTATCACCTTGAGCATTAGGTTTCAACATATGAGAATATTTGGAGGTGCACAAACATTCAGACCACAGCAGCAATAATTTTCTTCACTTGTCAAGAAAAATGGCACTACTAGATCTATTTTTAAACTTGCATTCAAAAGTCACAACTCTCTTCACCTTCTGTGATTTAACAGGAGTCAAACCTCCAAAATGGCAGAGTCCAATGGTGGCTGGTCCACTGAAAGTTTGAGTTCTTGTTCTTCTTTGGTCCCCCTGGGTATCCCCCATGTCAGAATGCTTACTGAACTCCATTATGATTTTATGCTAGAAGAACATGCTGAAGTCTCTTTTCCTTTTTCCTCTTTCCTCCCTCTAATTATTGTAGAGTTCCAGATGACTCTGGTTTTTTTCCTCTAATAACACCACAAATTTAATTCACTTTATTTAAGAAGAAATTGTTACAGCTTTAATCTGGAGGCAACCAGCTTGCTTGCTCCCAGCTGCTCAGTATGGAGAAGAGAGGCCAACTTGCCCAGCTCCTTTGAATGCAGTAATTTATCCTGATAACTGCTCTAAACACTTCTCCCCGCTTCATTCTCATGCACTGAGCTGAAGTATTCTGAGGCTTACTCCTGGGTAAGAGTGCTCCTAAGAGTGTTTTGAGTATTGTTTATTCTTTTCTCATCCCAACAGAGGAGAAGGAACCATCAGAAGGGAGGAAACTGACAATAAGGAAGAAATCACTGATAAAGCAAGTTCCCCAAGGGTGTGGAAAGATAGAATTGTGAAGACAGGTAGCACAGGAATAGCAACACTTTCTCTTCTATTAACTGGAGAGAAGATGGCAGGAGAGCTGGGATCAGAGACAGTGGGTTAAATTATCCCAATGCCTTGCCTCTAATAGGGACTCAACTACTTATTGAACTTGATAGATGTTAACTAGTGACACAAACTTCCAGCTCCTAGTGAGTAACAACAGGTATCATTGTAACACATCATATCTGGCAACAGAGCACTGGACTGCGTGGGTCATGTAGATAAACTAATGGAGCAATCGGTATACTCAGTAGTCACCTATTCTTTTAATTATAATGATTATCAAGTGCACTTTACAGTCAACATACCAGGAGTAACCTACACTAGCAGCATAAATCCTCTCTCATCTTTAAATATTGCTAAAAGACTAAAGAAGGAAACCAACAAGGATTGAGCTCTTAAGTGTCAGGCTCTTTGCAAAGTACCTTACTACATTGTTTCATTGAATTGCTCGTAACAACACTATTGAAGAAACTGACTCAGGGAAATTAAGTACCTTGCCAATGTCATGGGCCTAGAAAGCAGAGCTGGGATTCAAACTTAGATGGCTTCACTTAAAAACCCACTCTTTCCACATGCCACAATGCAAAAAAAAAAAGAAAAAAAAAAGCAAGGAAAGAAAGAGAGAGAGAGAAAGAAAGAAAGAAAGAAAGAAAGAAAGAAAGAAAGAAAGAAAGAAAGAAAGTTTAATCTCCAATAAATTAATCTCATACCAGAAAAAGACCATTCAAGCACCTTACAGAGACAATGTGTAGCAGAAAAGCAATCTCACTGAACCTCTTTTCTGTATCTTCTATGAAGTATCACAGATTTGTGCGTATTTTCAGAAAACTGACAACTTGTGGATAGAGGATAACTTTTTGTCCATCTCTAGATTTCCCCTATTCTGGTGAGACAGCAGTTTTAAAATGCCTCCTATTTCTCTCCCTCTGAATTTGAGGTCCTCTATTATTTTCTGCTGTCAGAACTCAGACAAATCTTATTATTTTATTAGGTCATTGGATATGATTTATATGTCTCTTAGGAGGAGTGACTGTAGAAAGGGAGAGTGATAGGACTTATCAGCCCCGGAGAGGACTGAGCTCACCTATTAAGTTATCCTGTCTGCCCTGTACTTGACAGTTTTTAATGCTTCCACCTCCTGCAGCTTCCAGTGTTTGTCCTTCTGAAGTGCCCATTCCAGATATTATTGTTACATTGTGCCAGTACTTATGGCCCAAGCATGCTAGTGCTTTCCATGTCTTGGGCATAGACTGCTGTAACAGTTCCCTGCTGTCCTCCTTTCAATGCATCATCCAAAAACCTCAAATGATCAGCAGGAACCAACTACAGCCTCTGAAGCAAGCAACATACCCTGGCTCAGGCTACTTTCAAGTTAAAATTATTTCTTGGTAGGCAATGATTGTGTCTTGCTAACTCTCCATTAACCTGACAGTTCCTGCTTCATCCTCCTCAGCCTTCATTGTGTTATCATTTTATACAGCTAGTGAGCTCCTCAAGTTATTTGCCCATGATAACTGTTACCTGCCAGAGGATGAACAAATAGGGACAGAGAGAGATGTGACTTCCTTGTATCAGTCAGCATAGCCAAAATTATGCTGTGGCAACAACTGACCCCCAAAATCTCAGTGTCTTACAACGATAGAGGTTTATTTCTCATTCATATTATATGTTCATTGTGGGTGGGCATGTGTCTTTACTTCAGGACCTCAGCTAATAAAACAGACTCCCTGAGGAACATTGTCTTTGGCAGAGGCAAATTGAAACTGGACAATTGTTCCATCAAACTAATGTTTATGGTTTCTTTTGAACAAACATAGAAATTGACCCTCCCAGCCTTCAAATTTGAGAAAGTTACAATTGTCTTATCTGAGTTCCTTTCTCAGGAAACCAACCATCAGGCCTCCCAGATAGTATCAGGGAACTGAAACTCACCAGATCACCACATCTGGACAATGAGACACCAGACACCTCACCGTCATGATCACCTAACCAACTACCTGTTTCCTGTTGACCAACTCCTCTTTCTTACCCCTCCTTAATCCTTGTTTCCCTACATGTAATTACATTTATCTCCTGCTATATAAACCCCTGATCTTAGTTAGTCAGGGAGATGTATTTTAGAGTGCTCTTCCATCTCCTTGGCTGCAGCACTCAAAACCTTCTTCCCTGACAATACTCATTGTCTCAGTGATTGGCTTTCTGTGAGGCAAGCAGCAGGACCTAGATCAAACCCCTGGTGTTTCAGTAACAAAATGAAGCACGCAGAACAGAAACATCTGTCCCCACTTAACCAACAACACAAGTCACATGATCATTCCTGATATCAACAGAGAGAGAATGTGAAATCCTCCTTTGGGGAGCAGTACCCCAACGAGAGGCAGTACCCCATCGAGAGGCAGCACACATTTAGAACAATAATACAATCTACCACACTCACTTCGATATAGACCTGTCATGATATTCCCAAATTGCCTTAGAGGGAGTGCCGTCTATGGAGCCCCAGTCTCAAGACTCTTCCGCAGATTCTGCCAGGGCAGCAGACACCTGCTCATTTTCTCAGCCATGCCTGCCATGTTGAATTGAGCCTCTCTGACACTGACAGATGGCACTGGTTTCCTAGAGACTCCGAGGTGAATCAAGGTGTTGCTCCTGGTCTTTATAATTCCCAGACTGTCTGATATTTGTATCTAAAGAGGGAGACCTCATCACTTGCCCAGCCCCTGGGGCAGGGTAGGTAGAGAAGCCCATCCCCTGGAGCCCCACATTTCTGTCAATGAAGGACATTGTATTCTGAGTCACTTCTTTTTACAGCCTGTCAGAGACCAAATTAGATCACTGTGAAGGAATACACTATGACCCATCTGTCCATTCAAATAAATCACTGACCTTTGTTTTTATTTTTTGTTTTTTGCCCTAGCAGAAAGGTGTTCAAAACAGCTGTTTCTGTGATAAATCTTTAAGAGTTTAATAGGATAAATGTTGTACTTGATGTTTTATGCTATGATTATTTCTGTATTGAAAGGCATAGGACTTAAGAAGATAATGCTGTCCTTGGCAGCATGAGAGACATGTGAAATAAAGATGATTTAATGACTTGAATTATGTTAATAAACAGAAAATACCTGTGTAGGAGGTTTTTCTTCTAAATATGGTTACTCAAAATCTAGCTGAAGACCATTTCAAAAGAACTAATAATATAATAATATAATAATTTTATATACACTAATTTGGTGGCTACAAGCACACACACAAACTATATACATACATACATATATAAGTATATATATGTATGTGTGTATATATATATAGAGAGAGAGAGAGAGAAAGAGAGAGAGAAGAGAGTGTTAACCATTACTCATATAAATCAGGGAGACAGAACAAATTTAAAAAGTATCTCCTGTGGTGATATAAATAGACTGTGGTGACTACACTACTGTAGTTGAGTTTTGAAACTCACATGAAAACAACTGATATTCCTTTACTGAAGAACTATTTACCGAGCGCCAACTCTGAGTCAGGCACTCATCCAAGCACAAGGTATGCAAGAGATGGAAGCAGATAACCTGTAATCCCAGTGCTTTGGGAAGCCGAGGTGGGAGGATTGTTTGAGCCCAGGAGTTTGAGGGTGCAGTGAACTATGACTGTGCCACCACACTCTAGCCTGGGCAACAAGAGCGAGACCGCATCTAAAAAAAAAGAAATCCCATCCTTCATAGAACTTATGTTTTAGTGGGAGGAAAAAGACAAATGAAATATAGAAGACATCGTCTGTTTCCACCTCCTGGTCCACTCTCCACTCTGATCTGTGCCCTGCGAGGCCCATCTGTATAGACTGCATCCATAAGCTCACTTTCTCTTCTGCCTCCAGGTAGATTTAGCCAATGGGAGGAACTTGCAAGAGATCAGAGAACAAGAGGAGTTGACAAGTTGAGTTGACTCATCAAGGGATGGCTGCATCCTTCTCCCAGAGGCAGCCCGCTCCACATTGCTATCCTTTCTAGGTGCCTCTCTCTGTCCTGGTAACTGTTCTCTCACTTTGACCCTATAGGCCTTGGGGTGGCAATGGCTCCCACCAGCACCACCACCATGGTTGCTGGTCCCATCACATTACAGCAGCCCTCTGAAGCTTCCCTAAACCTTGCCCACACCTTTGTTAACCACTCTTTTATTACACTGTCCCAAGTCATCCAGTTCGAGGGTACTGTTTCCTGCTCTAACCCTGACCCATACACAAAATAAGGAAGTAAATTATATAGTAAATTGAATGTTGATAAGCTTTGTTGAGAAAAACAAAGCAGGGAAAGCAGATAAGGAGTGCTGGACCAGGACAGGTGGGTGCTTTTTAAATAGGGTGGTCAGGGAAAGCTTCATCAATAAACGTGTCTAATACTGCAGATTTGTCCATCTTCCAGCAGACCTTTCCTTTCAAAGGAAATCTTACAAGGACCTGAAAATTTAAAACCTGGAAGAGAGAAACATCACTGGTTGGAGCAGAGGCAGGAGTAGAGATGAAGGCTCAGAGCTCTTCCCCATGGCCTATTTCTCCCTATACCCTCCAAGCCTCTACAAACTCATGTACCACCCCACCCCTAGCTTCTGATGCATCTTGACTGGCCCTAGTACTTCAAGATACACACAACCAAGGAAGATACAAAATATTGTGTTTCCTTTTAAGCAGCAGGATCTCACTCTATCTCCCAGGCTATGGTTGCAGTGGTGCAACCATAGCTCACTGCAGCCTCCTAATCCTGGGCTTAAGGGATCCTCCTGCCTCAGCCTCCTGAGTAGCTGGAATTACAGGAGTGTGTCACCAAGCCTGGCTAATTTTTTAATTGAGAGGCAGGGTCTTGCTATGTTGCCCAGACTGGTCTTGAACTCTTGGCCTCAAGTGATTCTCCCTCCTCAGCCTCCCAAAGTGCAGGGATTATAGGGACATGCTGCCATGCCTGGCCAATATTTGGTTCTTAATCCTCTCCAAGTTTTACATTGTATCATTCCAAAGAAACAAAACTACTCCATCTTACCTTTAGGAAACAGCTTTTGTAGCGCCATGACTGAATGTTATGTCCTCATCTCTCACTCACTCCTGAAAACAGAAACGGTCTCACATATATTTTGTCTTTCATCTTTATTTGTAAAATTGACATTCAGGATCCTGTTTCTATTTTCTCCATGTCATCTATATAAGTACAGATATGATAAATTATCTCAGGGCCAGGAAAAAGTTTGTCTCTTCTGTTGAACTACAATCTTTCCTTCTATTGGACAATAAGAAGTGTGTATTTCATCATGTTTTCCTCTTCACGGTGGCTTACAGGAAACTCAGAGCCAAGTGTCATGTTAAAGTGCTATGACTTTTCTCAAGGATGTTTTCTTAATGTAATTTTCTTCTCTAGTTTCCCTTTTATGGTTTTGTTTCGTATGCTTTATTTTATTGCATGATTTTCTTACAGAGGCAGGCAAGCTGTAAATATATATTATAATGCAATCTAATTAAAATTTTTTCATTTTATTTTGGCTGACTTTTCCTGGTTATATATACAATATCAATATAATCTATAAAAATGAAAGCTTTAGCTAATTAGTTATTTTTGTTCTCTTTACTAAAATAAGCTATTTGATGTTTTTCTTACTCAGGAGACTGATTTCTTAATTCATGATTAAAAAAAAAAAAAACAATATGAGCTGGGCATGGTGGCCCACACCTGTAGTCCTAGATACTCAGGAGGCTGAGGCAGGAGGATTTCTTGAGCTCAGGAGTTCAAGGCTATAGAACACTACAATTGCACCTATGAATAGCCACTGCACTTCAGGTCATGCAATGTAGCGAGACACCATCTCTAGAAAAATAAACTAATTAAAATAAATTTTTAAAAACAATACTTCTGGATAATTATTATTGTCAGGATCCATGCTCAGTTCTGAGGATTCAAAGATGAATGTGGTACAGACCCTGTCCTAAAGGAATTTACAGTCTAGAAGTGAAGAGTTCTTCATTCTTTCAAACTTCTCATTCCAAACCAGTATTTATTTGTAGTTTTAAAACTAATTTGCAGAATAATACATTTTTGAAAGTAAAATTGGTTTTCCCCCTTAGTTCTGTTCTCTCATTCTAATAGATATAGAGATAAAACAAATCAACATTCTAAGCATTCTGCAAATGTAAGCATTCAAACAAACGTAAGATTGCTTTTAAAACGCTCTCTACAATAAGCATTTATGGAGGCCAGCCAAAGCTTCCATCGACTCACTAGGGCTGTGGTGCTTTTGTTGTTGATCCATCCTACTCTCTTCAACATTAAAATAAAAAAAATTTAAAATTAGTATTTGGCTTAGAAAGCCTGAAATGTGTCCACCTTACAGGTCAAGCCACGTTTTTAGATAAATCATAATTTCTAGCAGGTTTTGTAGCTTCCCAAGTTTGATGATTAGTTCTGTGCCAGTGGCCATGCCAAAACTCTCTGCTGAGGCATTTTCAAAACCCCAGGTTATAGATATCACCAGTCCGAGTGAACCTCCAACCTCTTATAACATTCATTTATTTGACAAATATTCACTAAACACCTACGATGTGTCAGGCTGCAATACTAGGTGGAGGGATACGAAATGGTAAATAAGATAGATACGTTCCCTGCTCTCACGAAGCTCAGTCTAACAGATGATACAAAAAGTAAACAATTGACTCCAAGTATGATGAGTGTAAGCTGAAGGAGTTCAGAACACACCACCCTAAATAAGCCATCCTGGCATATTGACTGTTTTGAGTTAAAGGTACTTGAAAAACAGCATATGCAAGAAGGACATTTTGAGTCCCCCTTCCTTTTCCTAAAATCAGAAGATGAGATTCCCATGTGAGATATGCCCCCCTTATACCAGGAGAAAATAAACATTCTTATAATTAAGGACAGTAAGTGAGACTGAAAGAATTCTGTATGAACAGACCTTGTTAAAATAATGTTTATCTTTCTTTAGGCTCCCCATACATTTTAACTACTTTTCCACAATCACCTCTCTTTGCTACCTAATATAAAAGCACTTGGATTTTGTCACCTCTTTGAGTCTTCATTTCCTTATGAGGGCTCCCATGTCATGTAAAATGTACATTAAATAAATGTGTGTGTTTTTTCTGTTAATCTGTCTCATGCCAATTTAATTCTCAGGCCAATCTTTTTTTTAAATTTTACTATTATTATACTTTAAGTTTTAGGGTACACGTGCACAACATGCAGGTTTGTTACATATGTATACATGTGCCATGTTGGTGTGCTGCACCCATTAACTCATCATTCAGCATTAGGTATATCTCCTAATGCTATCCCTCCCCGCTCCCCCTACCCCACAACAGTTCCCGGTGTGTAATGTTCCCCTTCCTGTGTCCATGTGTTCTCATTGTTCAATTCCCACCTATGAGTGAGAACATGCGGCGTTTGGTTTTTTGTCTTTGCAATAGTTTGCTGAGAATGATGGTTTCAGCTTCATCCATGTCCCTACAAAGGACATGAACTCATCATTTTTTATGGCTGCATAGTATTCCATGGTGTATATGTGCCACATTTTCTTAATCCAGTCTATCATTGTTGGACATTTGGGTTGGTTCCAAGTCTTTGCTATTGTGAATAGTGTCGCAATAAACATAACATGTGCATGTGTCTTCATAGCAGCATGATTTATAGTCCTTTGGGTATATACCCAGTAATGGGATGGCTGGGTCAAATGGTATTTCTAGTTCTAGATCCCTGAGGAATCCCCACACTGACTTCCACAATGGTTGAACTAGTTTACAGTCCCACCAACAGTGTAAAAGTGTTCCTATTTCTCCACGTCCTCTCCAGCACCTGTTGTTTCCTGACTTTTTAATGATCGCCATTCTAACTGGTGTGAGATGGTATCTCATTGTGGTTTTGATTTGCATTTCTCTGATGGCCAGTGATGATGAGCATTTTTTCATGTGTTTTTTGGCTGCATAAATGTCTTCTTTTGAGAAGTGTCTGTTCATATCCTTCACCCACTTTTTGATGGGGTTGTTTGTTTTTTTCTTGTAAATTTGTTTGAGTTCATTGTAGATTCTGGATATTAGCCTTTGTCAGATGAGTAGGTTGCAAAAATTTTCTCCCATTCTGTATGTTGCCTGTTCACTCTGATGGTAGTTTCTTTTGCTGTGCAGAAGCTCTTTAGTTTAATTAGATCCCATTTGTCAATTTTGGCTTTTGTTGCCATTGCTTTTGGTGTTTTAGACATGAAGTCCTTGCCCGTGCCTATGTCCTCAATGGTATTGCCTAGGTTTTCTTCTAGGGTTTTTATGGTTTTAGGCCTAATATGTAAGTCTTTAATCTATCTCAAATTAATTTTTGTATAAGGTGTAAGGAAGGGATCCAGTTTCAGCTTTCTACATATGGTTAGCCAGTTTTCCCAGCACCGTTTATTAAACAGGGAATTCTCAGACCAATCTTAAGCCCCAAAGAGAGAAGTGGTAATGTTTTGCCTTCCAAACAGAGCTCTATAAGGGTGGAGATTTTTGTCTGTTGCCTTCACTGCTGCATCTCCCATTCATATAATGGTGCCCACATCAATAAATATTTGCTGAACACATGGTATGAAAAAGGAAGCACAGGGCTCTACAAGAGTGTGTACCAGGGGATATCACCCAGTCTGGAGGGCTGAGGAAGGAAATCCTGAAGGAAGGGCATCCTAGACGATACTTAAATGATGAGTTGTAGAGAAAAGAAAAGAGTAATATAGGAGGAAGAAAAACTTTGTTTGAAAGCCCAGATGTAAACAAACTGAGGTTTAAACAGTAAATAAACAAATACCCAGAATGATTGAAGTGAAAAAGGCATAGAGCAGAGTGACACGAGATGGGATTGAACAGTTGGATATAAGCACAGGGGATGTACACCCGTCTATGATATTGTTCATAATATTCAGGGAGGAAGAGGATGATATTATTTTTAATATTGCAGGGGGTGTACATCCCCTTGTGATATAGTTCCTAATATCCAGTGGAAGAGAGAATATTACTCCCAATATCGCAGGGGTGTACACCTCCCTGTGAGAGTATTCGTAATACCCAGGGTGGGAGAGGATGATATTACTTCCATTTTCCCAGGAAGTGTAACCCCCCCCGCCACCGAGATACTGTTCATAATATTCAGTGGGGGAGAGGATATTACTCCCAATATCACAGGAGGTGTATATCCTTCTGTGATATTGTTCATAATACCAGTGACAGAAACGATGATATTACTCCAAACATCAAAGGGGGTGTACACGCCCCTGCGATATTGTTCGTAATATCCGAAGGAAGAGAGGATTATATTATTCCTAATATCGCAAGGGTTGTACACCACACTGTGATATTGTTGGTAATATCCAGGGACCGAAAGGATGATATTACTCCCAACATCGCAGATGGTGTAAACCCCCCGGTGATGTTTTTCATAATATCCAGGGGGAAAGAGGATGATATTACTCCCAATATCGCAGGGGTAGTACACCCTCCTGTGATATTCTTCCTAATATCCGGGGTGGGGGGGAGAGGATGAAATTACTCTCAATATCAAAGGAGGTGTACACCCTTTTGTGGTACTGTTCGTAATATCCAGAAGGAGAGAGAGTAATATTACTCCCAATATCATGGGGGGTGTACACTCCAATATCATTGGGGGTGTACCTCCCCCTGTGATAGTCTTAATATCTGGGGGTGGAGGGGGGAGAGGATGATATTACTCCCAATATCGCATGGGGTGTATACCACCTCTATGATATTGTTCCTAATATCCAGGGTGGGGGGGAGAGAATGATACTATTCCCAACATCGCGGCAAGTGTACACCTCTTCTGTGATATTGTTCCTAATATCCATAAGTGGAGAGAATAATATTACTCCTAATATCGCAGAGTGTGTTCACCCCCCCACCCACCATGATATTGTTGGTAATATCCAGGGGGAAGGAGGATTAATTTACTCTCAATATCGCAGGAGGTGTACACGACTCTGTAACATTGTTGTAATTGTTTGTGTATTGTGTACACCCCCTATGGTATTGTTCGTAATATCCAGGGGAGGAGAGGATAATATTATTCCCAATATCGCAGAGGAGTACACCCCTCTGTGATATTGTTCATAATATCCAAGGGCGGGGGAGAGGATGATATTACTCCCAATATCGCAGAGGATGTACATTCCCCTGGTGGTATTGTTTGTAATATCCGGCGGGGAGAGGTTATACACCCTTCTGTGATATTGATTCTAATATCCAAAAGCAAAAAGGATGATATTACTTTCAATATCGCAGAGTGTGTACACCCCCACCCCCCCATGTGATCTTGTTCGTAATATCCAGGGGAAAGAGGATGATTGTCCTTCCAATATCGCAGTGGGTGTACACTTCACCGCTGATATTTTTCGTAATATCCAGGAAGGAAAAAGATGATATTACTCCCCAAATCGCAGTGGGTGTACACCTTCCTGTGATATTGTTCCTAATATCCAGGTGGGGAGAGGATGATATTACTCCCAATATTGCAAGGGGTGTATAACCCCCTGTGATATTGTTGCTAATATTCAGAAGGGGAGAGAATGGTATTACTCCCAATATTGCAGGGGGTGTACACCCCTTCGTTGATATTGTTCCTAATATTCAGGGGGGGAGAGAATGATTTTACTCCCAATATCACAGCATGTGTACATCCCTTCTGTGATATTGTTCCTAATATCTAGAAGGGGAGAGGATAATATTACTCCTAATACCGCAGGAAGTGTACAGCCCCCCTGTAATATTGTTCCTAATACCTAAGGAAGAAAAGGATGATATTACTCCCTATATCGCAGGGGATATACACCACCCCCGTGATATCGTTCCAAATATCCAGGGGAGGAGAGGATGATATTACACCTCACCCAGTGACATTGTTCCTAATATCACGAGAGGACAGGATAATATTACTTTCAGTATCACAGTGAGTGTACACCTTCCTTGTGATATTGTTCCTAATATCCAGGGGAAGAGATGGTGATATTACTGTCAATATCGCAAAAGGGGTACACTCCCCCTGTGATATTGTTTTTTCTAATAGACAGGGGGAAAGAGGATGATATTACTCTCAATATCGCAGAGGGGTGTGCACCCTCTGTGATATTGTACCTAATATCCAAGGGTAAAGAGGATGACATTACTCCCTATATTGCAGTGAGTGTACACACCCCCTGTGACATTGTTCCTAATATCCAAAGGGGGATAGGATGATATTACTCCCACTATCGCAGGGTGTGTACGACCACCCTGTGATACAGCTCCCAATATCCAGGGGGTGAGAGGATAACATTACTCCCAATATCACAGTGAATGTACACCTTTTCTGTGATATTGTTCTTAATATCCAGGGGGGCAGAGGATGATATTACTCCTAATATTGCAGGGGTTGTACATCTCCCCTGTGATATTGTTCCTAATACCCAGCGCGGGGAGAGGATGATATTACATTCAATATCGCAGGCGGTGTACAACCCCGCTGTGATACTGTTCCTAATATCTATGAAAAGAGAGGACAATATTGCTCCCAATATCGCTGGTGCTGTACATCTTCCCTGCGATATTATTTCTAATATTCAGGGGGGAGACGATAATATTACTCCCAATATCGCAGGACGTGTACATCTTCCGGTAATACTGTTCCTAATATCCACGAGGGGAGAGAATGATATTACTCCAAATATTGCAGGGGTTGTACACTCACCCTATGATATTGTTCCTAATATCCACTGGAAAAGACGATGATATTCCTACCAATATCGCGGGGGGGGGGGGGGTGTGTACACCTTCCTGTGATATTGTTTGTAATACCCAGGGAGGAAAAGGATGATATTACTCCCAATATCACAGAGGCTGTACACCAACCCCGCCCCCCACCGTGATATTGTTTCTAATATCCAGGGGTGGAGAAGAAGATATTACTTCCAGTATCACAGGGGGTGTACACCAACCTTGTGATATTGTTCCTAATATCCATGGGGGAATAGGATATTACTCCCAATATCGCAGCAGGTGTACACCCCCTTTGTGATATTATTTCTAATATCCAAGGGGGGAGAAAATATTACTCCCTATATCACAGGGGGTGTGCACCCCCCTTGTGATACTGTTCTTAACATTTAGAGGAAGAGAGAATGATATCACTCCCAATATCACTGGTGGTGTTCACCTCCCTTGTGATAATGTTCTTAATATCCAGTTGGGGAGTGTATTGATGATATTGCTTTCAATATCTTAGGGGGTGTATACCCCCTTTGTGATATTGTTCCTATTATCCAAGATGGGAGCCGATATTACTCCCAATGTCGCAGAGGCTGTACATCCCCCCACCGCGTGATATTGTTCCTAATATCCACGTAGAGAATGATATTACTCCCAATATCGCAGGGAATGTACATCCTACCCCCAGTGATATGGTTCCTAATATTCAGGGAAGGAGGGGATGATATTACTCCCAATATCGCAGAGGGTATACACCGCCCCTGTGATATACTTTCTAAAATCCATGGGGGAAGAGGATATTACTCACAATATCACAAAGTGTATACACACCCCTTGTGTTATTGCTTCTAATATCCAGGGGGTGAGAGGATAATATTACTCCCAGTATTGCAGGAAGTGTACACCACTTCTGTGATATTTTTCCTAATGTCCAGAAGGGGAGATCATGATATTACTCATAATATGGCAGGACATGTACACCCACCCTGTGATTTTGTTCCTAATATTCAGGTGGGGAGAGGATGATATTACTCCCAATATCACAGGGGGTCTACACACCCCCTGTGATATTTTTTCTAATATCCAGTGGGAAAGAATATGGCATTACTCACAGTACTGCAGAGGTGTATACCTTCCCTGTGTTATGGTTTCTAATGTCCAGGGCGGAAGAGGATATTACTCCCAATATCGCAGGGGGCGTACACCCCTTCTACGATATTGTTCTGAATTTTCACTGGGGGAGAGGATGACATTACTTCCAGTATCGCAGGGGGTGTACACCTTTCTGTGATATTTATCCTAATATTCAGGGGTGGAGAGGATGATATTACTCCCAACATCGCAGGGGGTGTACACCCCTTTGTGTATATATCCACTATACAGACAGCCACTCTAAGTCAAAGAAAGAGGAAACAACCCTGCCAACACATTGATCTTGGAACTCTAGCCCCCAGAACTGTGAGTCAATAACTTCTGTTGTTTTAGCCATCCAGCTTATGCTAGTTTATTATGACATCCCTAGAAAACTAATCTACCTCCCTTGAGGAGAGTTGACTGTATTCTACGTAAAGATGGATGATACACGGATATATTATAAAACATGCAGCAGATTATGGCAGACTGCTAGTTGACCTTCTTACATAGTAAGTCATATTGTCACTTTTTAATTTTTTTGATTTTAGATTGAAGGGTACATGTGCAGGTGTGTTATATAAGTAAACTCGTGTCATGGGGTTTTTTTGTATGGACTATTTTGTCACCCAGGTACTAAGCCTAGTTCCCAACAGTTATTTTTTCTGATCCTCTCCCTCCTCCCACCCTTCACCATCAAGTAGGACCTGGTGTCTGTTGTTCTCCTCTTTGTGTCCATGTGTTCTCATTATCCAGTTCCCACTGGTGAGAACATACAGTATTTGGTTTTCTGTTTCTGCATTAGTTTACTAAGGATAATGGCCTCCAGCTCCATCCATGTTCCTGCAACGGACATGATCTCATCATCTTTTATGGATGCATAGTATTCCATGGTATATACCAGCAATCCTCAACATTTTTGGCTCCAGGGACTTGTTTTGTGAAAGACACTTTTTCCACCAACAGAGGGGTGGGGGGATGATGGGGGAAATGGGAGGTGGCAGGGTGGTTAAAGGGCATGCAACCTAGATCCCTCACATATGCACTTCACAATAGGGTTGAAGTTCCTGTGAGAATCTAATGCTGCCGTTAATCTGACAAGAGGTGGAGCTCAGGCAGTAATGCTTGCTCACCTGCCGCTCACCTCCTGCTGTGCAGCCCCATCCCTAACAAGCCATGGACCCCTGGCATTTGGGGACCCCTGGTGTATATGCACCACATTTTAAAAATCCAGTCTGCCATTGATAGGCATTCAGGTTGATTCTATCTTTGCTATTTTAAATAGTGCTGCAATGAACATACACGTGCATGTGTCTTTCTGGTAGAACAGTTTATATTCCTTTGGGTATATACCCAGTAATGGGATTGCTGTGTCAAATAGTAATTCTGTTTTTAGCTCTTTGAGGAATCACCACATCGCTTTCCACTGTGGCTGAACTAATTTACACTCCCACCAAAAGTGTGTAAGCATTCCCTTTTCTCTGCGACCTCGCTAACATGTTATTTTTTGACTTTTTAATAATAGCCATTATGACTGGTGTGAGATTGCATCTCACTGTCGTTTTGATTTGCATTTCTCTAGTGATTAGTGATGTTGAGCATTTTACATATGTTGGTTGGCCACATGTATGTCTTCTTTTGACAAGGGTTCATGTCCTTTGCCCACATTTTAATGGGGTTGTTTTTCTCTTGTAAGTTTGCATAAGTTTCTTATAGATGCTGGATATTAGACCTTTGTCAGATGCACAGCTTGCAAATATTTTCTCCTATTCTGTAGGTTGTTTGTTTACTCTGTTGATAGTTTCTTTTTCTGTGCAGAAGCTCTGTAGTTTAATTAGATCCTATTTGTCAATGTCTGCTTTTGTTGCAATTGCTTTTGGTATCTTTGTCAAGAAATCTTTGCCAGTTAGTATGTCCAGAATAACATTGCCTAAGTTGTCTTCCAGGGTTTTTATAGTTTGGGGTTTTACATTTAAGTATTTAATCCACACTGAGTTGATTTTCGTATATGGTGTAAGGAAGGGGTCCAGTTTCAGTCTTCTGAATATGGCTAGCCAGTTATCCCGGCACCATTTATTGAATAGGGAGTACTTTACCCATTGCTTCCTTTTGTCGGCTTTGTCAAAGATCAAATGGTTTTAGGTGTGCAGCCTTATTTCTGGGCTCACTATTCTGTTCCATTGGTCTAGCGTGTGCTTTTGTACCAGTACCATGCTGTCCAAGAAGTTTTGGTTACTGTAGCCCTGTAGTATAGTTTAAAGTCAGGTAGCATGATGCCTTCAGCTTTGCTCTTTTTGCTTAGCATTGCCTTGGCTATTCGGGCCCTTTTTTGGTTCCACATAAATTTAAAAATAGTTTTTTTCTAGATTTATGAAGAATGTCAATGGTAGTTTAATAGGAATAGCACTGAATCTGTAAATTGTTTTAGGCAGTATGGCCATTTTAATGATATTGATTCTTCCTATCCATGAGCATGGAATATTTTTCCATTTATGTCATCTCTGATTTCTTTGGGCAGTGTTTCATAGTTCTCATTGTAGAGATCCTTCACCTCCCTGGTTAGCTGTATTCCTAGGTATTCTGTTCTCTTTGTGACAATTGTGAATGAGATTACATTCCTGATTTGGCTTTTGGCTTGGCTATTGTCAGTGTATAGGAATGTTAGTGATTTTTTGCACATTGATTTTGTATCCTGAAACTTTGCTGAAGTTGTTTATCAGCTGAAGGAGCTTTTGGGCTGAGACTATGGGGTTTTCTAGGTATAGAATCATATTGTCTACAAACAGGGATAGTTTGACTTCCTCTCTTCCTATTGGGATGCCCTTTATTTCTTTCTCTTGCCTCATTGCTCTGGCCAGGACTTCCAACATTATGTTGAATAGGAATGGTGAGAGAGGGCATCCTTGCCTTATGCCAGTTTTCAACGGGGAATGTTTTCAGTTTTTGCCCATTCAGTATGATGTTGATTGTGGGTTTTTCATAGACGGCTCTTATTATTTTGAGGTGTGGTCCTTCCATACCTAGTTTATTGAGAATTTTTATCTTGAAGGGATATTGAATTTTATCAAAAGCCTTTTCTGCATCTATTGAAATAATCATGTGGTTTTTGTCTTCAGTTCTGTTTATGTGATGAATCACCTTTATTAATTTGCATATGTTGATCCAACCTTGAATCCCAGGGATAAAGCCTATTGATCATGGTAGATTAGCTTTTTGACATGCTGCTGGATTCAGTTTGTAGTTATTTTGTTGAGGATTTTGTCATCGATGTTCCCCAAGGATATTGGCCTGAAGTTTTTTTGTTGTGTCTCTGTCAGGTTTTGGTATCAGAATGATGCTAGCCTCCTAGAATGAATTGGGAAGGAGCCCCTTCACCTCAAATTTTTGGAATAGTTTTAGTAGGAATGGTACCAGCTCTTTGTATATCTGATAAAATTTGGCTGTGAATCTGTCTGATCTTCAGGTTTTTTTTTTTTTTTTTTTTGGTTGGTAGGCTATTACTGATTCAATTTCAGAGCTCATTATTGGTCTGTTTAGGGAATCAATTTCTTCCTGGTTCAGTTTTGGGAGGGTATATGTGTCCAGGAATTTATCTATCTCTTCTAAGTCTTTCTAGTTTGTGTGCATAGAGGTATTTGTAGTAGTCTCTGTTGGTTGTTTGTATTTCTGTGGGGTCAGTGGTTAACATCCCCTTTGTTGTTTCAAATTGTGTTTATTTGGATTGTCTCTCTTTTCTTCTTTATTAGTCTAGCTAGTGGCCTATCTTTTCCTTTCTTTTTTCTTTTTCTTTTTCTTTTTTTTTTTTTTTTGAGATGGAATTTTGCTCTATTGACCAGGTTGGAGTGCAGTGGTGCGATCTTGGTTCACTGCCACCTCTGCCTCCTGGGTTCATGCAATCCTCCTGCCTCAGCCTCCTGAGTAGCTGGGACTACAGGCATGTGCCACCACACCCAGCTAATTTTTGTATTTTTAGTAGAGATAGGGTTTCACCATATTGGCCAGGCTGGTCTCGAACTCCTGACCTCAAGTGATCCACTCGCCTTGGCCTCCCAAAGTGCTGGGATTACAAGTGTGAGCCACCATGCCCGGCTGCTAGTGGCCTATCTTATTATTATTTTTTTTTTTCAAAAAACGACTCCTGGATTTGTTGATCTTTTGGATGATTTTTTTTGTGTCTTGATCTCCTTCAAGTCAGCTCTGATTTTGGTTATCTCTTCTCTTCTGCTAGCTTTGGGGTTGGTTTGCTCTCGCTTCTTTAGTTCTTTTCGTTGTGATGTTAGATTGTAATGAGTTCTATAGATGTCTATCAGATTAATTTGGTTCAATGTTGAGTTCAGGTCCTGAATATCTTTGTTAATTTTCTGCCTCAATGATCTGTCTGATACTGTCAGTGGAGTGCTGAAGTCTCCCACTAAGTCTCTTTGTAGGTAAAGCTCGCTCTATGAATCTGGGTGCTCCTGTGTTGGGTCCATATATATTTAGGATAGTCAGGTCTTCTTGTTGAATTGAACCCTTCACCATTATGTAATACTCGCCTTTGTTTTTTTTTTTATCTTTGTTGGTTTAAACCCTGTTTTGTCTGAAATTAGGATTGCAACCTCCGTTGTCTGATTTCCATTTGTGTGGTAGATTTTCCTCCATCCCTTTATTTTGAACCTAAGAGTATCATTGCATGTGACATGAGTCTCTTAAAGACAGCATACCTTTGGGTCTTGGTTTTGTTTATCCAGCTTGCCACTCCATGCCTTTTAAATGAGGCATTTAGCCTGTTTACATTCAAGGTTAGTACTGATATGTGTGGGTTTGATCCTGTCTTTGTGTTGTTAGCTGGTTATTATACCAGCTTGTTAGTGTGGTTGCTACATAATGTCACTGGTCTGTGGACTTAAGTGTGTTTTTGTATTGGGTGGTTATGGTGTTTTCTTTCCATATTTAATGCTGCTTTCAAGATCTCTTGTAAGATTTGGTGGTAATAAACTCCCTCAGCATTTGCTTATCTGAAAAGGATCTTATTTTTCCCTTGCTGAGGAAGCTTAGTTTGGCTGGCTATGAAATTCTTGATTGAAGATTCCTTTTCTTTAAGAATACTGAATATAGGAACTCAATCTCTTCCGGCTTGTAGGGTTTCTGCTGAAAGGTCTGCTGTTAGCCTGATGGGGTTCCTTTTGTAGGAAACCTGCCCTTTGTCTCTAGCTGCCTTTAACATTCTGTCTTTCATTTCAACCTTGGAAAATCTAACAATTATGTGTCCTGGGGATGATCTTCTTGTGTTAAATCTTGCAGGGTTCCTCTGTATTTCCTGAATTTGACTGTTAGCCTCTCTGGCGAGGTTGAGGAGGTTTTCATGGATGATATTCTGAAATATGTTTTCCAAGTTGCTTGTTTTCTCCCTGTCCCTTTCAGAGATGTCAATGATTTGTAGATTTGGCCTCTTTACAAAGTCCCACATTTCTCAGAGGTTTTGTTCCTTCCTTTTCATTCATTTTTTTAAATTTTTGTCTGACGGTCTCATTTCACAGAGCCAGTCTTTAAGTTCTGAGGTTCTTTGCTCAGCTTGATCTATTCTGCCCTTGATATTTGCAACTGCATTATGAAACTCTTGCAGTGTGTTTTTCAGCTCTATCAGAGCAGTTAGTTTATTACTTATACTGGCTATTTCATCTGTCAGCTCCTGTATCATTTTATTGTGACTTGGATTGGGTTTTGCTGTTCTCCTGAATCTTGATTATATTTGCTCTTATGCATATTCTGAATTCTAGTTCTGTCATGTCAACCAACTCAGCCTGGTTAAGATCCCTTGTTGGAGAACTACAGCAGTTGTATGGAGGACATAAGACACTCTGGCCATTTGAGTTGCCAGAATTATTGCATCAGTTCTTTCTCATCTCTGTGTGTAGGTGCTCCTTTAAATGCTGGGCTGCCTCTGATTGAAGGGGTCAGATGGGGGCAAGGTGGTTGTGCTGGAGTCCCAGGTCTGGTGGTCCTGCCCTGTGAGAAGAAGTGAAGACCAGCCTGTGTGGAGAACAGTCCAGCCACTTTTTCACAAGGTGGGTGCTTTGTGCTGGGGATCACAGCTCTGGAGAGTCCATGGGGGACTCAAACATTAATATGCATAGGAATCATCTGGTGAATTGTTGACACCCAGAATATGATTCATTTATCAATCATGAAAATGAATGATCTGACTGGGAAAGTTCGAAAAAGGCTTCCAGGTGATGTCAATGTTGCTGATCCTTTTGTCATGGCAAAGACTATGGCCACAGTGGTTCTTAAAGTATGGTTCCTGAACCAGCATTGTCAGCATCACCAGAGAACTTGTTAGAAATGCATATTCTCAGACCCCACTTCAGACTGGAGGATAGGGCCCAGCAATCTATGTTTTAACATAGTCCGTGGGAGACTTTTCAGAGCCTGAAGACAGCCAGAGTGAGGGCTGTGAGACAGCAAAGATGGCAAACCCCCCCTCCCACTGGGTGCTCTGACCCAGGGAGTTGCAGAGCTGCTACCGGCTTGATAGCCCCAGTGTGGGGTGGCTATAGACCCAGGCCAGAAGGACTTTCCCAGTGAGGAGATATGGGATCAGGGACCCACATAACAGTCTGGCCACTTTTCCATAAGGCTACTCCAGTGTGCTGGAGGTCTGCTCCAGTCCCTAGTCACCTCGGATTTCCAGCACCTGAAGGTATCAACAGTAAAGGCTGTCAAAAAGCAAAGACAGTGGCCTGCCCCTCCATCTGGGAGCTCCATCCCAAGGAGGTACAGACCTGTTGCCAGCCTGAACACCAGCAGAGGTGGTTGCAGACCTCAATTGGGAGATTCTGCCCAGTGAAGAGAAGCAGGATCTGGGACTCATGTGAAAATGCTGTGTGGCTGTTTCTCTGTAGAACCTCTGTGCTGTGCCAGGGGACCACTCTAGTCTTTTGTTGCCTTGGACTCCCTAGAGCCCTATGGCAACAACTGCTAAGGTTGTGAAACAGCAAAGATGTCGCTCCATCCCTCCCCCTGGGAGCTCTGTTCCAGGGAGGCTCAGAACCACTGCCAGCTGGAAAACACTGGCAAATGTGGCTGGTGACCCCAGCTGGGAGATCCTGCCCAGTGAGGAGAAGCAGGGTTAGGAACCAGTGTAAAAAAGCAGTCTGGCCACTTTTCCATAGGGCAGCTTCACTGAAGGCAACAATACCTAAGGCTACAAAACAGCAAAGATGGTGGCCCACCCCTCCCTCTGGGAGCTGTCTCAGGTAGGTGTAATGCTGCCACTACCAGTGGCTGGCTGCAGTTCCAAGCCAGAGTCTTATCCTGCAAGATGCCACGGAAGCAGGGCCTGCACAGTGTTGCTGCTCAGTCCCCTGAATTCAGCCCCTTTCCTAAGGGCATGTACAGGAGTCTAACCTCCCACTTTGCCAGAGGTGCAGTTGCTTTTTCTGGGAAGCCCGGATATCTGAAAGGCCTGGAGCTCCACATGTGCCTGAGAAGCTTCTCTGCCATGTAGCTCTGTGTATCAGACCACAGGCCTTGGTGGTGTAGAATCACAAGGGGATCTCCTGGCCCAAGAGCTGCAAAGATCCATGGGTGAAGCAGGGTTCCTGGGGTCACTTACTCACTCATTGCTTCCCTGAGTGGGGGAGGCTCCCCTAGCTCCATTCCATGTCACTCCTGGGCGCGCAGTCATCCTGACTTGCTTTTCCCCATTCTCCATGGGTTGAGTTGTTTTCTTGATAAATCCCAATGTGTATACCTGAACATTTCAGTTGAAGTTTCTGTATTTACTCTCCCCTTCTATTTCTCTCTGTGAGAGCAGCACACACTAGCTGCTTCTAGCTGGCCATCTTGGCCAGCCTCCCCATATCTTCACTTTTTAACTGAGCCAAACTACATTTTCCACTGTCCAGTACAGCTGGCTGTGGCCAGATCACTAAGTTCTGGCCAATTATAATCAGATGTATCAGGAGGCAGATTTTAGAATTTGGCAGCTGCCTTTTGCCCTTTTTTTGTGCATCCCTTCCTCCTTCCTGGAAGCTGATGTGCACATGTGATATCTGTGGTATTTAAACCTCAGTGACCTTGGAAATGGAAGCTATGAAGTATGAAGAACCAGAATAGAAGTAGCTTGAGTGACTAAAAGGTTTGTGGAGCAGTTTAGCAGTCCATCACTGGACTGCCTACATTTGACATGAGAAAAAATGGTCTTTTATCTTGTTTAAACCATTGTTTTGGTGGGCTTACTATTATTTCCTGTTGAATCTAATCTTAAACAATACAAGTATGTGGTGTGGAAACAGGAGAAAATAAAACCTAATGGAGGATTTTAGCTATAGACTACAAAAAAGCAGATTGAGAAGAAATAGTCACAGAGACAGAAGGAAAACCAGGAGAAAATTATATTTGAAAGATAAAGGAGTATCTAAAAAGGGAGAGATGAAGCACTAGATATTCTTGACTCAACAGATATGAGGACCAAGAAATATCTCATGATAGGCCCATGCTTCTCAAACTTTCATGTGCATAGGAATCATTTGGTGAATTGTTAACACCCAGAATATGATTCACTTATCAAACATGAAAATGAATGATCTGACTGGGAAAGTTCGAAAAAGGCTTCCAGGTGATGTCAATGCTGCTGATCCTTTTCTCATGGCAAAGACTGTGGCCACGGTGGTTCTTAAAGTATGGTTCCTGAACCAGCATTGTCAGCATCACCAGAGAACTTGTTAGAAATGCATATTCTCAGACCCCACTCCAGACTGGGGGATAGGGCCCAACAATCTATGTTTTAACAAACCCACCAGGTGAGCCTGATGCACACCAAAGTTTGATGGCTGCTACGGTTTGAATGTGTCCCCTCCAAAATTCAGGTGTTGAAACTTAATGGCCAATGTGATGGTATTAAGAAATGGGGCCTTTAAGAGGTGATTAGGCCATTAAGTCTCCCCACTTTGTGAATGGGACTGAGGCCCTTTTAAAAGAGGCTTGCTTACCCTTCTGCCACATGTGAGGACATCACGTTCCTCCCCTTCAGAGGATGTAGCTACAGAGGCCATCTTGGAAGCAGACAGAAGCCCTCGCCAGACAACTGAATCTACTAGTGTCTTGGTCTTGGACTTCCCAGCCTCTACAATTATAAGCAAATGGGTTTCTATTCTTTATAAATTACTCAGTCTTGGATACTTTGTTACAGCAGCAAAAATGAAGTAAGATAACCATTGGTGAGGGCAAATAATAATAATAATGACTACCAAAGATGTTGGTTACAAACTGCAGGCCAGATACTTTAACACTTTCCTTGCATTATGTTTCACAACAATTCTTTTTATCAAAATGAGGAAACAAGACTGAAAGAAGTTAAATACATAGCCAAAGTCACAAAACTAGCAAGTGGTGGATCCAGGAAACCGTGTCTGTCTCACACTTAGGTCCACTCTCAGATCCCTTTGCCCACTGATCTTTAAGGGTCAACAGGGATACTACCACACATGATTTCGGCAGCATATGAAGATGAACACTAGATTACAATGGCTTTGAAAGGATGGAAATGGGGAAGTGAGCACAAAATACTTTTTCAAAAACATCAACTTTGAAGAAGGAAAGAGAAATAAAATTAAAACTAGAGGGCTTGGGAGAGAGGGAATTTGCTTGGTTATCTTTAAGAGGGGAAACAGAGATAAAAGAGGATGAGAGTTTCAAGATACAGGAATGTGTTAGAGATTTCAAAAGCTCAAACTTGAGCACTATCAGGGGATGGTGGATGAGGAATTAAATATTATTGATTATATTATGATTGCTTTGAGGAAATGGGGATACTTATTCAGGAAAGGGGAAAGACTTAAGCAAAATACAATAGTGAACTTTAAATATCAAGTAGGTTAAAAGATAGAAGAGGAAAGATTTTATTTTTACAGCTTCAGAGAGCAGACCAAGAGATGAAGTTACAAGTGATAGATTCCAACCTTAAAATGAAAAAGAACAGGCTAATGATTAGAAAACAGAATGATTTGCCTTTTGAGATGGTGATTCTCTTATTACTGAAAACGCTTAAGGAAGAGCTCTTTAACATCCATGATGCAAGTTGTATAAGGGATTTCTGTGAACTTGCTGAGGTGTTTTAACTATGCTAAAATTCTATGATATGTCCCTGCACTGTCTACTCCTTTGGTAAACTACTGAAGTATAGTACTGCTTATGGTAAGAACAATTCTTTGTGTAATTTACATCTTGAAGACTTCCTGCTATAATTGACAAGCAATAGAAGTAGAAAATAGATTACTGCCTACATTTCTGGCATTATCAAAACAACTCATATATTTGAAGTAATTTAAATCATTATGTAGACTTAAGATCAGCAGTTTTCTAAATGCTCACATTTGTATATATCCTTTTCTAAACCTCCGCTCACTTTTCTTTTCCTGCATGATTTGGAAAATGTAAGCAAGCAACTGGATTTTCCTATCATTCTAAATTGAAGTCCCTTCATTATCTATTTTCAACATTACTGTCTTTAGTAGATTTTGTTCAGAACCTTCTGCAGACATCATGACTTAACAAGTACAATGTCTCTTCTCCCATATTAAAGATGTCACTACTTCCAAAGCAGAGGAATTCATACTTTGATGAATTTATGAAAGAAAACCCCCCCAAACCCAGCATATAACTCAACAGATTCCAAACCAACTCTGCAGAGGTTTGATCCGTTCTTTCTTCTCACAGCCAACAGATAGAATCACGACCCGAAAATTTCCTAGTTACTACACTGTGAACAACCAGACTATTGGAAAGGGAGCCAAAACTAAAGCCCTCTGTCCTCTGAGAAGATGAATACAATTCACCAAAGTAAGTATTCACTTTTGCCCACTGGTAGAAAGGGCACAACAAAGGCCTCTAAGTGAGCACTGGAGAATGATACCATCTGTTGCACCTGTTGTGGAGAACAGCTGGTCTAGAGACCATATTGTAGATTGCAAGAAAGAGTAAATGTTTACAGAATTGCTATTTATTCTTGGGTTCAAATTCACTGCTGTAGCAAGTGTCTTGTGAAATGTGATTGAAACAGATTTTGCAAAATTTTAAGTGACCAGAGCCCTCTTTCTCTTAGAGTAAACTAAAGAAATAGGAAATTGAAACTTTGTTTCTTGGCTTATGAATTTAGAAAGATGGTTTCTAAGGTTACACTTGATTTTTAACTTGAGTATGTGAGTTTGCTTTGACCAGAATGTTTTTCTCTTCACATACCTTTCTAAGATTTAGTAGAATATAGTAATCAACATATAATTATATATACACATAGGTATAATATATGTGTAAAGGTATGTGGATGTATGTGAAATTTTGGATACCTGCTTCTGAGGCTATAAACTGAAAGTAGCAATTCCATGTTACTATCTTGTTATGTGACAGTTACATGTACATATATTATTAGGAATACGTCAGAAGAAAATGAAAACGTATACCAAATACAGCAGGTTCCTTTGAAATACTTTAAAAAGAATCAATGTTTTTTGTTTGTTTGTTTTGTTTTGAGATGGAGTCTCACTCTGTTGCCCAGGCTGGAGTGCAGTGGCATGATCTCGGCTCACTGCAACCTCCTCCTCCTGGGTCCAAGCAATTCTCCTGTCTCAGCCTCCCAAGTAGCTGGGACTACAGGCGTGCACCAACACACCTGGCTAATTTTTGTATTTTTAATAGAAATGGGGTTTCACCATGTTGGCCAGGCTGGTCTCAAACTCCTGGCCTCAGGTGATCCACCTGCCTGGGCCTCCCAAAGTGCTGGGATAACAGGCGTGAGCCGCCACATCTGGCCAACTTTTTAAAAATTTATTTATTTTGTAGAGAAGGGGTCTCGCAATGTTGCCCAGGCTGGTCAAGAAACAATATCCTTTATATTGCCAGTATAATATCCTTTATATTGGCAGTATAATGTTGCCAATATTTGTGTCCTTCTCACAGACCCGAAGGTCAATAAAATATATAAACTATATAGTCTAGAAAGGTAGAATGCTAAGGTTCTATGGTGTTCTCTAAAAATAATTTGCCAGTGGCATTACAGCAATATGTTCCAAAGGCTACTATACTTTTCTCGTCTTTCAGAATATCAAGTCATACACAAATGGACCTTTTAAATTTGCTTGTAATGCAATCACAGCATTTTAGTTAAATTTGAATTCATGACGGGGTCATCTTTTCTCAAAATATTTGGAAAAACTGGTTTGAACTATGGACAAGAACATGTCTTTCTGACTCAACTCCTAAGTTATTCTGTGCATCAGTAGTTTATCCCTTTCTCTTCTTCAGAGAGAAAGAATGGAAGGGACGGGGAGGGAGAACATGTTCCGCAAGGTGCCTTTGGAAGCTGGGCTATTGACAGTGCACCACCAGGGGGCAGCATAAAGCAGAGAAGCAGGAGATTGGATTTGGTCCTGCTCAGCTCTCTCCTTGATTGTCATCTAAACTCTCTGAGCCTCAGTTTATCACAGTGACTCCAGGATTTTGATATAATTATTGTTATTGTTGTTTTGAGAATGTTTTGTTGTAACTAATGACACACTTGGAGGGCCTGAAGTGCTGGGGGACATGGGTTGGGAATGCAAGGGTGGGCCACCAAGGGTCAATTTGTTTGGGGGACGATGGAAACTCCTGGAACCCTCCATTCTAAAGCACCAGTGGTTTGGCCCAAGTGCAGTGCAAGGATGGGGAAAGGGAGGGACTTCTGAGTACTGTTGGAGGTGTGGTGCTCACTAGCTTTCCCCTTACATCTAATGCAGGATGACCAGGGGGATATGTTGTGTGGTAGATTCTTGGGGCAGGGCATATAAAGATAAATATCAGTCTATTAATTTGTAAAAAGGCATTGCTGTCTCAGGTATGAGAACAATCATGCCTTTGTAATAAGAGCATACTCTCCCTTTCGACAGACTGATGTGGAAAACAAAATAATCAGAAGGTTGCTGGGTGATGACCTTTGAATTATATCTGGGTAAGATACATCTGTCTCCCACAAATGTGATCTTACTGGCCAGACCAGAACCTTTGAAGTCTAACAGCTCATGCCCTCTCTCCTCTCCTGGTATGGCACAGACACTGCCCACCAATATTGTTTTGCAACATTAGTTTTATCCATGGGCTTGGGAAAATAGTGATTATGTATCTTAAAAAGAACTGAAATAAATGATCCTTGATTTCTCTTCTGGGTTCTCCAATTTCTCTTCCCTGGTTCTTTTCTGTGATTTGTTCAGAATCATAGTATTTGTGATTCTGTGGTGTCACAAAGCAGTAACATAGCTTAATGGTAAAGACTTCCAGCACTGGAGCCAGACTGCCTGGGTCCAGATCTTGACACTAACTTGCCATGTCTCTGTGACTCTACTTTCTTTTTCTTTTTTTTCTTTTTTTTTTTTTTTAGAAGAGTTTCACTCTTGTTGCCCAGGGTGGAGTGTGGCACGATCTCGGCTCACTGCAACCACTGCCTCCCGGGTTCAAGTGACTCTCCTGCCTCAGCCTACCAAGTAGCTAGGATTACAGGCATGCACCACCACGCCTGGCTAATTTTGTATTTTTAGTAGAGACAGGGTTTCACCATGTTGGTCAGGCTGGTCTCGAACTCCACACCTCAAGTGATCCATCCGCCTCAGCCTCCCAAAGTGCTGGGATTACAGGCGTGAGCCACCGCACCCAGCCGACTCTACTTTCTTTACCTCTAACATGGGGAGACTAATAGTATCTATTTTCCAAAGTTGTCATGAAGATTAGGAGTGAATACACATAATGCATTTGACATAGTGCTAACCATATAGAAAGCACTGAAATTTTACATATTTTGAGAATGTACTTGCCCATTTCCTTTGTAATTTACATTTTGTGTGTGTGGCTTTAATGAACTCAATGTTAAGTAATGACTTTTCATGTTACATAACAATGTGGTGTTATAACCCGGTTAAGTACTTAATATATACATGATGCCAATTTTAGCAGTATTATTATTACTATTATTGTAATAAATCACAATGCTGAAATTTCTTAAAATTAATGAGCATATATTCTCCAGGCACAAAGAAAATAAATACCTATTTATGGTTGAAATCTTTTTCAACTCAAGCCATACCCTTCAGAGGGAGACAATCTGTTGATCACTTCCAGAGCCGTCCCCTGGGAAAAAAGAGACTAGAAAAAAAGAAGCCTTGGGGATATGCTTTGCATGCATTAGCAAAGTCCAAGGTGAGTTTTCTGCACAATTGTGTCAGGGTATGTTTGTGCTAGCTTATTTTTATTCTCATTGTAGGGCCAGAGTAATTAAGGAAAACATCTAGTTATGAAATACTGGTAAAAGTTACAAGATAGAGGACAATTAAAAACCACATAGATGGAACTCATTTAGCAATTCCAAGTAGATACAATTGAATTTGCTTTTTTATGGTTGTTTTTGAATCATTCAATTCATGTAAAATATATTATCTCAAGCATTTTTAAAATTTCATCTTCCAAGGGCTTAAGATTTAATAAGCAGCAAGCTAAAAACCATAGTCAAATGTGTAAATCCTTTGTACAAATAATAGATAAGATGATTTATTAGAGAATGTAATAGCCAATATAACACTTAATCTTGAGTAAATGAATAATTTGTGAAGGACTTCATGACTTTTTAAGAAATTTGTAATCACATGGTAGATTTAGATCAACGCTTTGGGTAATTTCTGAATGTAAAATAATAAAAATATAATAGGATGAATTCTTGAAGTTTGGAATATAAAAAGCATGATTGATGCTGTGAAATCATGGTTTTTATTTTTTTTAATTTTATTTATTTATTTATTTTTATTTTTATTTTTTTTTACACTTTAGCACTTTATTCCCTGAAGTTAGGAGGTGCTGCCCAGCAGCCATCATACAACCTCATCAGATTCCAGCCCATGGACCTCTTATAAAGCGTCCAGTATGGCCATCTGCTTCTTCATGGCAGGGAGGTAAAGGCTGAGGTCCCTCTGCATCCCAATACTGAAAGCTTCTTTCCGGTGGTCACCTTCCTTTACGGTTAACGCGGCCACAAAATCTTCATAGGATGGAGTTGCCCTTAAAGCTAACGCAAAAACCCCTCGAACTACCCAGCCATGGTGTTGCCGCAATGTTTTACCATATGCGTTATTCAGGGCTGTCTGGATATCCTTTTCCCCATTTTTCACTTCTGTCAAAAATCCCTTCAAAAATTTGAGACCTCTCTTCAGCCACAAGAGGGCTTCAGTCGCTGAGTTCCTAACCTGGGCTACATCCGCCTCCACTTCGTGCAGCACTATCTTCTGGAGAGTGGTAAACTCTTCTTTGTTGGTTATATACTTCTGATTTACTTTCTTAATATTTTCAACAAGATCCATCTTAACAGGAGCAAACACTGTAGGGCCAAGTTTGTCTAATACTGGAACCACAGCACAACATGATGCCAAGAATGCTTCTGTGGGAATGCCACTGTCTTCCAGAAGTTCAATGTCACTAAAGCTTGTGTTCATGGTACTAAAGAAAGTTGGGATAACTTCTTTGCCTTCCTCCCAGAGGCATTCTGGAGAGCAACTTGAGTCTGATCCAGACTGAGACAAGTTATTGTCATGATTTTTCAGGTTTTCCATTCTATCTTCCTTCATTATTTCACCTTGGACGGTTATATTATCATCTGTATTTTCCTCACTTGATATGCTGCAGTCTATCTCTGCAGATTTCAAATATAAGGAATTCTTATTTTTCATTAGGATTTCTTCCTCACCATTTATTTCCATATTTAAAGATCCATTTTCACAAGTGCTCAACTCCGTTTGCCTTTCCAATGAATTATGAATTGGTATAATAGGATGTTTCATCTTGCTGGACTTGAGCATGGCCAGCTGTGGTGATCCTGGTGGAGTGTGGTAGAGCAGCTCAGAGGTGAAGGCTGCATTTGCAATCTGCATGCATTCTTCCAAGGTCTTCAGAAAAGTATTACAGGTTGATTTCAGCAAAGTTCCCACATCAATTCCCTCCTCAGAATTGGACACACCAGTTGTGGTCACTTCTTTTGTTTTATCTACTTGCTGAACAAGGAGGTCACAGCAGAGTCTTAGTTCTGACATTTTGGTTTTCAAGTTTTCAGTGTTTTCAGCAAACTCTTTATCCTTCTGGGTCCTACTGTCAGTCAGGCAAGCCTTGGCTGATCCCAGGGCCACCAGCCGCCGCTATCTTTCAGGCACACTTCTGGCCTTCAGGTAGAAATACTGTTCCCCGGGGATTATCAGGTCCATGCATGTATTATCTACAGAATGAACTTCAATTTCACAGACTGCCATTTGTATGCTCCCTTTGCAACCTTTCCAGGCATCTTCAGGAGAATCATAATAGGACAATATTCCCCTACAGAGAAAGAACCATCAAGGCTGCCAACTGCTCAGATAGTTGGTCCACTTGTACAGCACCCACTCCATGGCGCCCACGGCCACTCAGCCCACGCCCACCGGCCCCCTCATTGCCCAAGGCCCCAGGAGGCGAGGAGCACCAGCAGCAGGGCCATCACCCGGTGCTGCCCAGACGCCCACTCCCGGTGCCCGGGCCCGGTGTGGGGACGCCCGACCTGCCTCACCCTCGGCCCGGGGTAAATCATGGTTTTTAATTACACTTTCTTTAACTGTTGAATTATATCTACCTTCTAATGCCAATATTTCTAATTTGAAAAATCCCCCTCATACCCACCTCTTATTATTTAAAACAAAAACAAAACTCTATGTTTATTTTTCATATTTTTCAGTGAGGGCATCTGTGTAGTGGTATATGTGAACGGGTATAAGAACTTGCTCCCGGCCGGGCACGATGGCTCATGCCTGTAATTCCAGCACTTTGGGAGGCCGAGGTGGGTGGATCACAAGGTCACGAGATTGAGACCATCCTGGCCAACATGGTGAAACCCCGTCTCTACTAAAAATACAAAAATTAGCTGGGTGTGGTGGCGTGCACCTGTAGTCCCAGCTACTCTGGGGAGGCTGAGGCAGGAGAATTGCTTGAACCTGGGAGGCAGAGGTTGCAGTAAGCAGAGATGGTGTCATTGCACCCCAGCCTGACAGCCTGGCAACAGAGTGAGACTCCATCTCAAAAAAAAAAAAAAAAAACTTGCTCCCTACTACTGAAATGAATCAGAATGGCCTAGAGTTCTTAGGGTGAGATGCCTGCTGAGCACCCAGAAGCACTGCCAAGAGTGATTGTGCCTTTAATGCGTCTCCAAGCACCACAGTTTGGCTCTCAGCTTAGCAGGTGTAGAAACTCAATTTAACCCACGTATCTAGATAGCCTCTTGTGGACTCATATTAACAAAGTCATCTTAGATTGATGTATAAATCAGAATACCAATTAATTAAGTTGCACTGGAAAATACGTACTTTTTTGGTATAAAATAACTTATTTACATAATTTATATATATAACATAACTGCTGATATGTACCTTTTTTATCTAAGCATTTCTAAGGTTCATGTAGCCAGAGACTGGTTAAATGTTGGTGCCCACTGTGACTAAGGTACCCGGCACACTGCTTTGCACATAGGAGCTATTTAATAAATGTTGGGAGAAAAGCTGAGTGTTGGGAGAGAAGCTGAGGCAGGGCTTGCATGTCTGACATAATACAAAAAAGTCTTGAAATATGTCTGGGATCCTGGGTCTAAAACCCCTCGTGGCCTTTGGAACACCAAGCTCTGCGCCAAAGGGTGGAAGGCTACCCTGATGCACCATAATCTAAGCCCAGGGCATAAAACCCCTTGTGGCTTGGAAAGAATCCAGGGCTCATGGCCTCTGGAATGTGTCTAGGCTGGCTGGCTCCTTGCTCCCTGCTCTCCCAGGATCTATTGTATCTTGAGTTAAAAGAACCTGCTCTCCATTATCTCAAGTAGCAGAGCATATGCTAAACCATCACAGCTGTAAATCATGTGCTTAATGCAATGCTCCCTTTCAACCCCACATTCTCACCACCTGTTTCTTTGTTTGATCACCAATAAATAGTCTGGGCTTCCAGGGCTCGGGGCCTTCACAGCCTCCATACTCGCATTGGCCCCCTGGGCCCACTTTCTCTCTCAAACTGTCTTTTCTCATTCCTTTCACTCTTCTGGACTTCGTTGTCCCCACAACCTGGTGTTAGGTCCGATCACCCCAACAATAGATGCTAAAAAAAAAAAAAAGGAAAAAGAAAAAATATTAAGAAACAACAACAACAAAATGGAGTAAGACTAAGTGAAATGCTGTTGAAATCCCAAGTGCTTAGTATTCCATCCCACCTTCTTAAAGAACATACTTATGATAATTAATATTAGTTTTTCAGATTCTGTATTTTTTCTTGAGAAAAAAATTGGATTCTTCTAGACTCCTTGATTGTGAGTCTTCTTGATTCTCTTTATAACTCAGTCTTACTTTAGAGATAATAGATTCTAACTGATGAAGTATCAACTTTTCCAGTTAAAAATCTTCAACCCTACCTCTCAGAAACTTAACCCTGGTAAGCTTATTCAAACTTCCCAAGTCTCCCTAGTATCTATTAATAGACAATCCCTTTCTTCTTTGAGATAATCTCTCTAAATTCAGAGACCACCTTCTTCACCTGCATTTGTCATCTATAAAGAGCAGCTGAAAGAAGAGCTAATGCTCAATTTTAGTGGTTAATACATGTTAACATATATTTTCCCCTTTGGGGAAAAGAGCAATCCCATATCAATGGCTGGCGCCCCAAGTGAGAAGGCATGAGAAAGAGGAAAGAAAAAGAAAGAAAGAGAGAAAGAGAGAGAGTGAAAGAAAGAAGGAATGAATGAATGCATTCTGGTGGCAGAGTAGGAAGCTTGGGCCCACCTCAACCCAGCCCACAGACACAGCAATTTAGCAACAATTCATGGACAAATTCCTTTGTGAGAAATCAGAAATGAATTGAAAGACTTCTGCATGCCAGGAGACTATGAAACCAACTCACTGAAACTATTAGGGAGACTCAAGACACCCTCTTGCTAGAGACACTGCCCTGGCACAGTGCCATACAATCAAGAAGAGACCCACTAGCTCCAAGTTTCACCTAGAGGATAAAAGGGGTTGGTTCACAGCACCCTAACTCTTCTAAGGGGGCTCCAGAAAGGACTCACTTCTGTTTTTCCAGTCTTGGAACGCTGAAAGATTTGGCACAGTCTAACCACCTGGAGGAAAATGGATACAGTGACTTGGGCTGGTAGATGTCATTGTTCCTCTCCCCTGCTCAGCACAGAGCAAGCTTATAAGAATGCCAGCATTTAGCCTCTCCTGAGGAGGGAAAGAATTGATCCATAACTCCTCCAGGCCTTCCCAAAGAACTTGCATCTGTCTCACCAGTCCTGAAGCTCTAATGGGTTCAGTACAATCTAGTCACCTGGAGGAGAGAAGAAACAGTAGCTCTGGCTAGTAGATGCCATAGCTCTCCCCTACCCATGGCTTAGCACAGGGCAAATAGGCAAAACACAGCTAACTGCTTCTTCCTGGGGAGGGAAGGAGTTGGAAGAGACCCTCATAATCTATGACTAGGCTGACTGGTGGGGGTCTTCACCTTTACCATGCCAGTTTATGAAGACTGAGAGAGGTACCCGCTTTGTCTAACATGTAGACACAACACAGGGGGTCAAGAAAAATGAAGCACCAGGCAAAGATGTTCCAAACAATGGAATGAAATAAATCTTCAGAAAATGACCTAATGAAACAGTTATTTAACTTGTCTGATAGAGAATTAAAAATAGCTCTCATGAAGATGCTCATTGAGGTTAAGAGAAACAATGCATGAACAAAATGAGAATTTCAAGGAAGAGGTAGCAAATATTTAAAAGCATCAAAGAGAAATATAAGATATGAAGCTGAAGAACACAAATGACCTGAAAAATTCACTAGAGGGGTTCAGCAGCATACTAGATCAAGCAGAAGAAAGGATCATCAGTGAACTCAAAGACAGGTCACTGATAATAATTCCTTCAGAGGAGCAAAAAGAAAAAAGAATGAAAAAGAGTAAAAGTAAGCCTAAGAGAATTACAGAACACCATTAAGCAGACCAAATATGTATTGTGAGAGTTTCAAAAGGAGAAGAAAGAGAGAAAGAATGAGAAAACTGATTCAAAGAACTAACAACTGACAGCTTCTCAAATCTTAGGAAGGGAATGAACATCCAGATCCAAGAAACCCAAAGGGATGCCAAATATGAACCTAGGGAAATCCATGGGCCAGGCACAGTGGCTCACTCCTGTAATCCCAGCACTTTGGGAGGCCAAGGTGGGCAGATCATTTGAGGTCAGGAGTTCATGAGAAGCCTGACCAACATGATGAAACCCCATCTCTACTAAAAATACAAAAAGTAGCTGGGCATGGTGGCGGGTGCCTGTAATCCCAGCTACTTGGGAGGCTGAGGCATGAGAATCACTTGAAACTGAGAGGCAGTGGTTGCAGTGAGCCAAGATCATGCCACTGCACTTGAGCCTAGGCAACAGAGCAAGACTTCAACTCAAAAAGAGAAAAAAAAAGAAAGAAAGAAAAGAAAAAGAAAAAAAAAAGAAATCCACACTGAAATGCATTATACTCAAATTGTCAAAAGCCAAAGACAATACCAATTTTGAAAGCAGCAAGAGAAACAATTTGTCACATACAAGGGGTCCTCCAGTAGATTATCAGCAGATTTTTCAGCAGAAACCTCACAAGCCAAAAGGGAGTAGGATGATATATTTGAAGTACTGAAAGAAGAAAAACCTGCCAACAAAGAATACTATACCCAGAAAAACTCTCCTTCAAAAATGAAAGAGAGGTAAAGCAGAAACCTCACAAGCCAAAAGGGAGTGGGATGATATATTTGAAGTACTAAAGAAGAAAGCCTGCCAGCCAAGAATACCATACCCAGAAAAACTCTCCTTCAAAAATGAAAGCGAGATAAAGACTTTCCCAGACAAACAAAAGCTGAAGTTCATCACCACTACACCTACCTTAAAATAAATGCTTTAAAAAGTTCTTCAAGTTGAAACGAAAGGCCACTAAGCAGTAACTCAATAGCAGAAGAGTGTGAAATGTATTGGCAGAGGAGGCATAACTTATAGCTTGTTACTGGCAACACACAATTTGCCATCTGCTATAATTTCTGACCACTGATCTACTTTTACCTGATATAAAAGATGTTTGTGGGCTGGACACAATGGCTCACACTTGTAATCCCAGCATTTTAGAAGGCCAAGGCGAGTGGATCACTTGAGATCAGGAGTTCAAGACCAGCCTGGCCAACATGGTGAAACCCTGTTTCTACTAAAAATACAAAATTAGCCAGGCATGGTGGTGGGTGCCTGAAATCTCAGCTACTTGGGAGGCTGAGACAGGAGAATCACTTGAACCTGGGAGGTGGAGGTTGCAGTGAGCTGAGATGGTGCCACTGCACTCCAATATGGGTGACAGAGAGAAACTCTGTCTCATACTAATGATGATGATGATAATAATAATAATAATAATAATAATAATAATAAAAGATGTTTGTGAGCAGGAAAAGAACCTCATCTTTTTATCATCAGTTTCTATCAAGTCAAAGGTCCAACTGAAAAGATAATGCAACTAACTAAGCATACCATGTAGCAGCTAACTGAAGGACAATGACCAAAATATCTTATTGGGTTTCTGATTGTTTAAAAGTTATCACTCAAGAAGAGCCCATTTTGTAGGATAACAAATGTAGAACAATTCAAGTGTTGCACTGCTGTTGCCATTCATATTTAGCTTGGAGATAACAAGACACACAAAAATAACACTCCTCTGTCTGTATTTATCCTGCAATCATATGTGCCTAATTAAACTGTATTCAGAACTATGCATGTAAATCATGATAAATCTTTCAGATCCAAATTAAGGTAATGGGATAGTCCTGGTCCCAAAGCCAAATTTAAAATCTAGGTCCATATCTAATTAGAAAATATCCTCAGTGCTTTTCCCAGGTCATTTTATAATACTGGAACCATTAGGAGCATCCCTTTAGAGATTTTGACACAACATATTTGACTTTGCCTCCTTAGAGTTTCTAGAGTGACAAAGCAATTGTTTTCTTTTGTTTTGTTTTTTGAGATGGAGTCTTGCTGGTGCCCCAGCTGGAGTGCAGTGGTGTGATCTCGGCTCACTGCAATCTCTGCCTCCAGGATTCAAGTGATTCTCCTGCCTCAGTCTCCCAAGTAGCTGGGACTACAGGCATGTGCCACCACACTAGGCTAATTTTTTTTTTTTTTTTTTTTTTGAGATGGAGTCTTGCTCTGTCACCAGGCTAGAGTGCAGTGGTGTGATCTTGGCTCACTGCCATCTCCGCCTCCTAGGTTCAAGCAATTCTCCTGCCTCAGCCTCCCCAGTAGCTGGGACTACAGGCACACACCACCACACTTAGCTAATGTTTTGTATTTTTAGTAGAGACGGGGTTTCAGCATGTTGGCCAGGATGCTCTCTATCTCTTGACCTCATGATCTGCCCGCCTCAGCCTCCGAAAGTGCTGGGATTCCCCCGGCCTAATTTTAGTATTTTTTGTATAGACAAGGTTTCACCATGTTGGCCAGGCTGGTCTCGAACTGCTGACCTCAAGTGATCTGCCTGCCTTGGCCCCCAAAGTGCTGGGATTAGAGGCATAAGCCACCGTGCTAGGCCCAATTGTTTTTTAATTTGATGATGAGGAGTCTTCTGATATTTAGACCCCTGCTCAGTATAACACCAAGAAAATCCCAGAGAAAGGTATCTTGATTAAAAGATTATGTTTAACATAATAATCAAACAGTAATAATATTTATTTCTGAGAAAGTAAACTCAAATACCAGGGTTAGGGTGGCAGGATAATTTATTTTCATGGCATACTTTTTACCCTGTTTAAATAGTTTAATATGATACATATTAATTTTCAGAAATAATGATCATGGACTTTTCAAATAGTATGGCAAAAAAGAAAAATAACTTCTTATATTCAATTTCCATATTTCTATATTTGAAACAAATTGCTACTTTTTACTTCAGAATTATGCATATGTCTTGAGAATAAAAATCTCATCCTGTCTGACTTTTGGGGCCCAGGGTTGTATAACAGTTTTCTATATGAAGAAGTTATAAAGTCAAATAAGTCCCTCATTCTAATTTTTGGCCCAAACCAGGACCATGTATACCCAAAATGAAGAACTACATAACTGACAGCTCAAGACTTCCATGGTTGCTGGTTGATCAGTCACCTGAACAACTCAGAACTCTGCTTAGAAAGTAGACAGTAAACACAAGATCACAATGGTGTCTCATGTGCGATGCCAAGAAATATTGTGGGCTTTATCCTGCCCTGGGTCACAGCCTCAAACACAATATTGAGTTGCAAGCATAATGTAAGTCCAGGGTGGAAGCATGCACAGAAGTCAGACCTCCTCTCTTTGCTTTCTTTTCTAGCAAATGCCTAGGGAAATTTTCCTTCTTAAGGCTATTACTATTATCTTTATTATTAATGCTAAAATAACAATGTTGAGAATTTTAATCATTGTGATGATGCTAATAATGACTAGTATTAATCAGAAGTCTGTTCTGGCCAAGTCCTTTTCTAGTATTTTAAAGATATTTTCTCATTTAACTTTCAGAACAACTCTATGAAGTTTTATTTTTTTCATTACCCAAATGAGGAAATTGAGGCCTAGCGAGTTACATAACTTGCTTAAGATCTCACAGCAACTAAGTGGCATAACCCATGTTGAACTTTTAGATTGTTTGACTCCAGAGTCTAGTTTCTTTTTTTTTTCTTGAGACAAACAGTCTCATTCCATTATCCAGGCTGGAGTGCAGTGGCGCAATCTTGGCTCACTGCAATCTCCACCTCCCAGGTTCAAGCAATTCTCCTGCCTCAGCCTCCCAAGTAGCAGGGATAACAGGCGCATGCCACCACACCCGGCTAATTTTTGTATTTTTAGTAGAGACAGGGTTTCACCACGTTGGCCAGTCTGGTCTCGAACTCCTGACCTCAAGTGATCCACCCGCCTCAGCCTCCCAAAGTGCTGGGATTACAGGTGTGAGCCACCGCGCCCGGCCAACTCCAGAGTCTATTTTCTTAACTTGTACTTTTAGCCATTCTAATCTTCAATCCCAGTAGTGAAATTAATTGCATAATGCCTGCCAACAAGAGAATCCGAGCTCTTTAGGTTTCTAAAAATCTCATTAGATTGTTTTTACATTTACTTTTCGGTCAATCTTGAATTATCTAAGGGAAGATATGTATATCTAGCCCTCTTGGATTACCTACATTATTGCTTTGCTAACTTTTTTTTAATCCCTTAGGATTCATGTCCTATCCTATCAGGGAAGGAGGGAAACCAGAAGAGGTAGAAGATAGATCAGTCAGTTGTGCTACTATAACAGCTTTGAGTACAGCTGAGAGGCTTTGAAACTAACATATAAAATTAAGCTTCAGGATTATCTGCTTCTTTAGTACTTCATTCATCTGGATATAATGAGATGAGTCAGCCAGTAGCCAAATCCCACTTACAATTGTAATGTAAGTATTAAAAGGAAAAACTTTACATATTATACTTCTGCCATTGTTGCCCAAATAATTTTGCATAATTTATGTTTTTTTATGGTTGGAATTCTGCAAATATAATTTATGAATAGCATTTAATTGCTATTAAATTATGAAGGCAAGCTAATATATTAATTACTTTCATATCTATTTTTTCCTCTTTTGCTTTACTATAATTTTTCAGAAACTAGCCATATTAATAATCCAAAAGTTATGCAGACAAATCAGAATCTGTCTCATATGTGATGATTTCTAGACATGATGATCCACAATTTCCCTTGATATTTCTTTCCTGAATTTTTCGGTACTCATTGAAGGAATTGCTCTTTCATATCTAAATCCTATTCCTGTGGATGAGACGCATTTCTTACTGCTCCATCCCTGGGAGAAAGAGTAGCTTGCCATAGGAACAGGGAAGGGTTACTTTATATACTATGAAATGTTCTGAGTTTTATATATGTGAAAAAGATCCAGAAATTAAATTTTAATAAGCCTCCAGATTTGGGCAGCAATCAAAGGCTTCCTCTATAGCAACAATTACACACATCACTGATCTGAGATCAAATATTTATGTCTTCTCCTACATGCTAGAGAACTAGCATTTTGCTAGTTACTGTTATTACCAGGGCAATTCAATAGAGGGCAAAAGAGACTAAAAATGTCATTTCACATTGGAAATTGTAAGAAAAAGCAATAACAAGCCTGGAAAAGATTAAATGCAATTGGAAATGAGTCTAAACTGAAATAAAATACTGTATTTTAGTAGATTTTAGTAGGGCTATAATTTTAACTTCTACTAAAAAACTGTCGTTTTGCCTATCGCTGAAAAGAAGACACAAAAGAAGACAAAAAGCCTGATGCTAGCAGGAAACAAAAGCTCTTCCCCATTTCCTAAAAGTACTTTCTTTTCTAGAAGTATATTGTTTGAAGGAGACTCTTCCATTATGCCTTGGGGAAAATGTAACCATTTTTTAAAAAATGAAATATAAATTATTCTCCCCTTTGGAAAAACTTTGTTTCCTTTGGTGTTGTTAACATAGAAGGCAGTGAATAATTTCTGCTCATTGCAGGACCCCATCAAACAATACCAATGTCTCATTTACCTTAAAGGACTAGAGTTTGCTTTGCATTGCCAGCAATATCACTGCCACCATTATCACCACATTATCAATTGCTATACTGTAATATCTTTGGGTGTGCAATCTTGCAGTAAATGCTCCTGCACCAGGTATTTTTCCAGAACTATTATAGAGCTACCTTTGAAGAATTTGTGATTTAGGAACTTACACTAAATTATTATATCCCCATCTTACATGACTTTATTTCTTTTCTGTTCACATTTCTGGTGATTTTACTTGGTTTCAAAGAAGCTATAAAATTCTGTTATTTATTCTCAGTGGGTTCCAAATACACAACCCAACTGGCCTCTCTGGGACCTCAATCTCCACTGGGGCCTCTAAACTAGGAATGGCTGCAGTGAGGATATGGTCCTTGGATGAAGTGCTTGTATAATCCAGATCAGCAGGCAGGGCTCGGTGAGAAAAGGGAACTGGTCATGGATGGCAGGCAGTTCTAAACGAATGGCCTGCCTGGCCAGAATTCAGAAGAGGGAGAGAACTCGGGCTCTACCTGAGTCTGGAAAGGCTTCACGGAGAAGGATCTTGAAGCAGGGATAAGGTTCACAGGGGGCTAAGAGTGGAGGAAAGTTGATCTCCAGATGATGTAATGTGAAGTAATGGGTAGATGGAAGGAGCCAGAAATGTTCAGGAAGCTGTAAAGAGACCTGTCTGGCGATGGTAGTGTTTATGAAGACAAGAAGTAGGAGGTAAGGGTGAACAAGCAGGTTGTAGCTGGCCTTGAATGGCAGGCTCAGAGATCTGAATTTTATTCTCCATTCATGTGGGAGTTGCTGAAGATTTCTGAAATAGGGAAGTGACAGGATGAAAGTGCTGTTCAAAGAAGATGAATGAGGAAGCTAAATGATAGGGCCCAACTCCCCATCTCTCTGGGAGGGTTAGATGCTTAAATTTGACAAATGCCGATTAGCAAACCCAGATGGATTTCACATAGATCCATTCCCCTTCCAGCTTTTTATGGTTTTTCACTTCCCTAACTCTGCTCAAGCCCTTGCCATGCCCCCTTCCTACTCCCTCATTCTCCCTTTGAAAAGCCCTATCACCAGCCACCCAGCCTGCCAGCTCATGCCTGTAATCCCAGCACTTTGGGAGGCTGAGATGGGTGAATAACCTGAGGCCAGGAGTTTGAGACCAGCCTGGCCAACATGGTGAAACCCGATCTCTACTAAAAATACAAAAATTAGCTGGGCATGGCAGCACACACCTGTAATCCCAACTACTCGGGAGGCCGAGGCAGGAGAATCACCTGAACTCGGGAGACGGAGGTTGCTGTGAGCCGAGATCGCACCACTGCACTCCAGCCTCGGTAACAGGTGAGACCCTGTCTAAAAAAATAAAAAAGAAAAAGAAAAGAAAAGCCCCATCACCTCTGTACAACTTGGGTTGGAGTTCAACTCTTCCTCACTGTCAGTAGTTATTAAATAAAATCTGTTTTACCATTTTAACTGATGTGTGGCTGTTTTTCTTTGACAGAGGCCTGAGGTTTAAACAATTTGGGGAACCTTCTTTAAGAAAAGGAATACAAAATTACAAATACAAAACTAAATATGTGGCTTTGGAAGGGGCATATGCAAATGAGGGCCCCTGAGCATAAGCAACCTTAGCTTCATGATAAATCTTCATCTGGTTGACCAGATAGACAAGGTGTCTGCTTTCTTGAAGCTTAGGTTCTAGAGGGAGTGGAGAGGAGAGATAGGCAATAAGCAAGTACACAAATGGGAATTTTTAGAGAATAATTACTCTGAAGCAAGTAAACTGGCATGGTAGAGTGGGGAGGAGGAGAAGAGAACAAGAAGAGCTCTGCTTTCAGGCATGGTGGCTCACACCTGTAATACTAGCACTTTGGGATGCTAAGGCAGGTGGATGACCTGAGGTCAGGAGTTTGAGACAAGCCCAGTCAACATGGCAAAATCCTGTCTCTACAAAAATACAAAAATTAGCGGGGCACCATGGTGTGTGCCTGCAGTCCCAGCTACTTGGGAGGCTGAGGCAGGGGAATTGCTTGAACCCGGGAGGCAGAGGGTGCAGTGAGCCAAGATCGCACCTCTGCACTCCAGCCTGGACAACAAAGCAATACGGTCTCAAAAATAAAAATAAAAAATAAAAAAGAAGAGATCTGCTTCCAATGTGCTGTCTGGGTAGGTCAACTGCATTCCAAGCAGATAGTATGTCTGAGAGACATACTACATGCCATACGGCATATAGGTATAAGCCATACGGCAGGACATACCAAGTGGAATAGAACATGAGGTCCAGGATGTTAGGCAGGAGACAGATCATGTAGGGCCTTACAGGCTACTGTGAGGTTCAGAAGCTGGATTTAGTTTTAAGCGTTTTGGTTATCTATTGCTACATAACAAACTATCTCAAAACATGGTATTTTAACGCAATTACCATTTTATGATTTCTCACAATTCTGTGAGTTGACAGGCTCAGCTGCCTGGTTCTTCTGCTTTGTGTGGTGTCAGCTGGGACCACAGTTAGTTGAGGGTTCCACTAAACTGGACAGTCAAGATGGCTCAGTCCCTTTTCTAGCACCTTGGCTGAGATGACTAGACAGCAGGACTCTGCTGGACACTGGCACAACTGGACTCTCTCTCTCTCCATGTTGTTTCAGCGTCTCTCTAATGCAGAGATATCCAATCTTTTGGCTTCCCTGGGCCACAATGGAAGAAGAATTGTCTTGGGCAACACATAAAATACACTAACATGAATGATAGCTGATGAACTAAAATTTAAAAAAAAAATCACAAAAAAATCTCATAATGTTTTAAGAAAGTTTACAAATTTGTGTTGGGCCACATTCAAAGTTGCAGGCTGCATGTTGCCTGCAGGCTGTGGGTTGGACAAGCTTGCTCTAATGTGATCTCTCCAACAAGATACATAGACCTCTCATATGAAAGCTCACAGAATCTAAAATTACAAAAGTAGAAGCTGCTGAGACTTCTTAAAGCTTCAGCTTTAAAACTGGCACAGTATCACTTCTGCGTTCTACTGGCTCAAGTGAGTGACAGCACTCAGATTAAATGAGGGAGCTGAACACATGAGCATGTGAATATGGAGAGACATGGTTCACTGGAGGCCAGCTATCACAGAAGCCACTTACTTTTTAAAAGACCACTCTGGTTGTGGAGTATGAACTGCAATGTTAAATCAGCTTAACAATAACCCATGTTGGGCACAGTGGCTTACGCCTATAATCCCAGCACTTTGGGAGGCCGAGGTGGGTGGATCGCCTAAGGTCAGGAGTTCCAGACCAGCCTGACCAACATGGTGAAACCCCGTCTCTACTAAAAATACAAAAATTAGCCAGGCGTGGTGGTGTGCACCTGTAGTCACAGCTACTCAGGAGGCTGAGACAGGAGAATTGCTTGAACCCAGGAGGCAGAGGTTGCAGCGATCCAAGATTGTGCCATTGCACTCCAGCCTGGGCGACAGAGCAAGGCTCCATCT